>NC_000007.14:118567385-118870415 GCF_000001405.40 Homo sapiens
AGGCTCAAGTGATCCTCTTGCCTCAGCCTCCCAAAGTTCTGGCATTATAGACAGAACCTACTGAACATGGACAAAGTGGGTATATATTTTATTGTATGTAGTTAATGCCCAAAAAAGCTGTTTAAAAAGGTATATACTTCTAATCTTACATAATTTTTTACTCTAAGCTTGAAAGTCCCATATTAATCCAATTACCGTTAGGGTTTGTTCTCTTCCACCCCTAACTATTTCAGGAGCTTTGTTGCTTTTCTTCTCAGCTCCTGTCCATTATCTGCATGGAAGTAACCACTACACAAGATCTCAGGCAGGGGCAATGTGCTAGACATCTTTGATTTGTAAAATGATTATCGAGAGAATGAGAGTTGTAGTTCTCTCTCCCAAGTTTACTTAGAGGTTTCCTTCTTAGTTTAGTTGTACACTATTTCTTCAATTGATGAATACCATGAATTATTCCACTTTCAGGGAAGACCCAAAACTCAATATGTAAGACTTGATTTTTTCCCTCAGTTCAACCTCAAATCACTAACAAAACCATGAATTATAACAGCTATAACTCAGTTATAAATGAGAAGAGTCATTTCATCCCACAAGGATATAGATAGGTAAATAAACAATTATCATCAAGTAAGCAGGAGGAAATGTTCTGAAATTTCCGAGGAGGGAGCTGAACAAGATTTTTCTAATACTGGAGTATGGGACTGGGTAATGAAAATCAAAAGGGAGTTCCCAGCCATTGACTGGTGGAAAAGATTATTCTAAACAAAAGAGAGAATATGTATAAATGATTAGTGGAATTGCTTTTTAAAAAAAAAAAAAAAAGATGTCCAATAAATATTTGTTATAATGAAATGCACTTGGTGAACTGAAGCATTTAATGAAGCTGGGATGTGAGGCATAATTGCAAGATTAATGGAAAATTCAAAATGATGTGTTGGAGTTAAGATACAAGAATTTTGAGAATCTTGTATATCTTATTAAGGAATGCAGACTTTAGTCAATGTTCAATTGACAACGTTTAATTTTTGTTTTATTTTAAACATAAATGGCAATCAGTTTTGTATTATAAAAAGATCACTTTAGGGGTTCTAAGGAAATTTTGGCATGGGAGAAAAACATGGCAAACTAAAGAGTTAGAAGGCTGTTGTATAGAGTTCTGTAAAGACGCTCCATATTTTTATGACACAAATTAAACAACTAGAATTAATAAGGAGGAGTACAGACAATGGACATTATTTTTTAAAAGTGCATTGCATTCAGAATGCATTATTTAAGAAATCAAAATTACCTATAATGTGTTTAAGATGTTTCCATAATATTCTAGCATGAATTTTTATAAAAGGAATGGCTATATTATAGTCCTAAAATTTTATACCCATTGCCAAATAGTTGATAATTCTTATTATTTCTTTGACATTCAAAATATAAAATTAAACATGGATTTACATGCACACATATATGTATACAAACATGGAATGATAGATAAATCTGAAAAATATAAAAATAAGAGTAAAGAAATGCACAATAGTTGTATAACTACAGTTAATAATAATAATGTATATTAGAAAATTGCTTAAAAATGTACACATAAATATTCTCACCACAAAATGTAAGTATGTGAGGTGATGTACATGTTAGTATACATTAAATATTCTCACACAGGTTGACTTTACAAGATATAGAATTTGTGTATTACTGAAGATTACACTTATCATTTAGTAATTATTATTTCTTGACATGTTTTGACTATTGCCTATCTGTCTTCCAGGAGCTTACAAAATATTCCTTGAGGTTAGGAAGAAAGACGTCCTTTGAAGATAAAAGGGCATCTCCATTTCCGAACTCACTTTCTAATTTCATGTAAGCCATGTTAACATTCAGTAATTGCTCAGGATGGACATTTCCTCTGGGTACATACACAGAAATAGAATTGATGAATCATATGGTAGTTCTATTTTTCATATTTTGAGAAATCTCTGTACTATTTTTCATGATGACTGCACCAATTTACATTCTCACCAATAGTGTACAAGGATTCCTTTTTTTCTACACCTTTGCCAACACTTGTTGTTTCTTGTCTTTTTAAAATATTTATTCTAACATGTATAAGGTGATATCTCATTGTGGTTTTAATTTGCAATTCACTGATGATTAGTGATGTTGAACACATTTTTAAGTGTCTACTGGGCATTTTTCTGATGGCTTTGGGAAAAATATCTATTCAAATCCCTTCTCTAAAATTGAGTAATTTATTTTTTTGCTGTTGAGTTGTGTGAGTTTTTATATATTTTGAATATTAACACCTTATGAAGATGTGTGGTTTGCAAATGTCTTCTCCCATTCCATAAATTGCTTTTTCATTTTGTCGATTTTTTTTTGTACAGAAGCTTTTTAGTTTGTTGTAGTCTCTTGTGTTTATTTTTGCTTTTCTTGTGTGTGTTTTTGGTGTCTTATGCAAAGAAACATTGCCAAGAACAAGGTCAAACAGCTTTCCTTCTATGTTTTCTTCTAGAAGTTTTAGAGTTTCAGGCCTTATGATTAGGTCTTTAATTCATTTTGAGTCAAGTTTTGTGTATGGCATAAATTAAGCATACAGTTTCATTCTTGTGTATGTGGATATTTACTTTTCTTAACACCATTCATTGAAAAGATTCTTATTTTCCCACTGTATATTCTTTGTGTCATTTTCAAAGATTAAGTGACTATATATGTGTGGGCTTGTTTCTGGGCTCTTTATCCTCTTGTATTGGCCTAGGTATCTGCTTCTATGTCAGTATCATACTGTTTTGGTTATTATAGATATGTAATATAATTTGAAATCAGGTAGCATTATGTCTCTAGCTTTGTTTTTTTAATTCAGAATTGCTTTGGCTATTTGGGGCATTTTGTGAGTCCATACAAATTTTTGTAATTTTTGTCTATTTTGGTGAAAAATACCATGGAATTTTGATAGGGATTGCATTGAATATGTAGAATGCTTTAGGCAGTATGGGCATTTTAACAGTATTAATACTTATAATACATGAACACAGAATATCTTTTCATTTATTTGTGTGCCCAAGTTTTTAAATAGCAGCTTTATTTTCAATAGCTAAGCTAGGGAAACAACCTAAGTGGTCCATCAAAGTGTCCGTAAGTAGATGAATGGATAAAGACAATGTAGTATATAATAAAATATTATTTAGGTATAAATAAGAAAGAAATCCTGCCATTTGTGACAACATGAGCAAAGCTGGAAGACATTATGCTAAATGAAATAAGCCAAATACAGAAAGACAATTACTGTATAACCTCACTTATATGTAGAATCCGAACTAGTCAAAATCATAGAAGCAGAGAATAGAATGGTGGCTGCCAGGGGCTGAGGGAAGAAGGGAAAGTGGGGAAGTGTGGGTCAAGGGTTATAAACTTTCATATATTAGTCCATTCTCATACTGCTATAAAGAAATACCTGAAACTGGGTAATTGATAAAGAAAAGAGGTTTAATTATCTCACTGTTCTGCAGGCTGTACAGGAAGCATAATGCTGGCATCTGCTCGGCTTCTGGGGAGGCCTCAGGAAACTTTTAATCACTGCAGAAGGCAAAGGGGAAACAGGCAAGACTTACTTGGCAGGAGGAGAAAGGGGTGAGGCGGTGGCACACACTTTTTTTGTTGTTTAATTTTTTAAATTTTATTTTCCATAAGTTATTGGGGTACAGGTGGTATTTGGTTACATGAGTAAGTTCTTTAGTAGTGACTTCTGAGATTTTGGTGCTTAAAAAAAAAGAAAAAAAAAGAAACTGATATATATATATATATATATATATATATATATATATATATATATATGATAGAATAATACTCAGTCATAAAAAGGAATGAACTAATAGCATTTGCAGTGAACTGGATGAGATTGGAGACTATTATTCTAAGTGAAGTAACTCAGGCACACATTTTCAAACACCCAGATCCCCTGAGAACTCTATCATGAGAACAGCACTAGGAGGTTTGTGCTAAGCCATTAGAAACCATCCACATGATCCAATCACCTCCCACCAAGTCCCATTCCAACACTGGGGACTACAATTCAACATGAGATTTGGGTGGGGACACAGATCCAAACCATATCATTTCAGTTATAAAATGAATACATTCTGTGCATCTCTGTACAGCATGATGACTACAGCTAATAATGTTGGATTGTATACATGAAATTTGCTAAGAGTAAATCTTGAGCATTCTCACTACACACACACACAAAAGTAAACTATGTGAGGTGGTAAATATGTTAATTAACTTCATTGTGGTAATCATTTCACAATGTGTATATGAAATCACCATGTTGTACCCCTTACATATATACAATTTTAATTTGTCAATTATTCCTCAGTAAAGCTGGAAAATGAAAGTAATTTTCCAAGGTGGCCAAAGACTGTTGCCTACCTCTGAATTTTTAGCATCTGACACTGCTTCTAAATTACATGATGGTTTGGAGTACTGCTTCCTGCAAGGTAAGCTAATTTTAGACCTCCATCTGTAAGAGACCTTTCCTTCTTTTCATGTGACTTTGTTTAGAAAGTACCAGAACATTAATATGGTTGAAGGTGAGGGTAGGGATATCATATATGCCTAAATATCATTTCTTCTATTGATCACAGAATATTCAACTTCTCTTGCCTTATCTCATCTTTTAACCATTGTTACAGTTTTGCCTGTCATCTCCCTAACAAAGCCACAACACTCGTAAAAATATGATAAGACCAGAGAAGATTGGTGATTGAATACATCTATCTAGTCCATGTTTTTGGAAAATATCAGATTACATATCTCCTGACATGTTCCTTGAGGCAAGAGTGGATGTCATTTCCCCACCTTAGCAGGCCCAGGATCTGGCACATGCATGGCATATAGAAAGCCTTCCCTGAAAGGATAAATGGTGATCCATCATATCATTTATATATGAAAGTATGCCATTTATTTTATGCAAACTAAATCAGTTCTTTATACACAATTGCAATGTATTATTTTGATGCTATCCCCACAAACATTTAAATGTAGCTTTGTAGTGCAATATATAGATAGAAAATAGGGACTAAAGGTCATGATTTCCTTTTGTTACCTGCCAATATTTTAGCTGAAGGCAAAGTTCTACAAATAAAAATGATTAATTTATAAGGTGAGTTAGTTTCTTAAAATCGGAAACAAAGTAGGCTTTTTTTCTGTAGAAGTGAAGTGCCCCAAAACATAAAATATTCCTTTTGATGTGGTGAGACTTTAATGATTTCCTTTGAATGAGATTTCTAAGTTTATGGCCGAATAGGTCATCAATAAGTTCTCTTACACACCTGAACTGTAGTGTAGTGTCATGAGTAGTTACTTTAGTAAAAGTTAACAACAAAGTATACTTTCTTTGTTTCTCACATCTCATTATGTGCTCTAAATTTCTCATTTTCATTTCAGCTTTCTTTCAGTTTCTTTTCTACTTTTTCCCCACATTTAAGTCTTAGTTTGTGTAAGAAATATGTATTAGACATGTTCTTGTCTGAGATGACATATGTCTTCATTCTGTTTGAAGTTCAAAGCAATGCTGGCTTCTGGATTTGGATTATGAGCAAATGAATTGTTCTTAGCTTCCAACAAAGATGTTCTGCAGCAGGGCTGCTCAGAACAAAACTGTGCTGACTGCATTGTGCCTTTGCTTTTTATTGACTATTTCATTATGTATGAGGACATGTTCCACCTTTGTTAACCAGTCTGCTTACTCTTGCTAAATATCACATTCTTAAAAGGCTTTTGGAATGGAAAACAACATAACACTCTGTTGAGATTTGTGACTGTCATCCTTCTAGTTAGAATTGCTCACAGATCGTGCAACAGTAGCAGTGACGCATCCGTAATAGCTGTCAGCCAGGATGGTCATTAAGCGCTGTCTGCAGTCGAGTCCTGTGCCAGATGGCACCTCAGGAACACAAGACAGAGCATTTGAGGCTGCCAAGATTCATTCTGTGCCCTTTTAACTTAGGGCTGGTGGAAAAATAAAATAAAGCAAAAATATTTCTGAGAGTAAAATTCTTACCAGTAGCTTTCTGGCCTTAGGCTTTTTTGTTTATATACAGAGACAAATCAGTCTTCATATTTAGAAATGAATATTTCCTATTAAGGTTATATCATATACAACATCGCTTAGTTTTCTAAAATGTATTGCTCATTATGATACTGTACTTAAAATGGTGATTTTTTTCCAGTGTTTTGTGGCATGTTTAGCAGATCCTTCAGCCAACATTTCTGATAATTTTTCAAAATATTTTTTCTCTTTTCTTTTATATCTGAAAATTGTTTCATGCATGAATTTGCAAACTATTTTTTACTAGTATGCAATTAATGATTTCAGGCCATTTATTGTATATCCAATTCTCATGTTTTTGAAATTCCATATGGATTACACTAAATTGTCTGATATATGACAATTTTTTTGGTCTATTAATTGTGATTCAAAGTATATGTTCTATTAATTCTGAGTCAAAGTATATGTTCTTTTTCACACTAGTGTCACACTGTTTTAATTCTTATTTTATTGAAATACATTTTAAATTAGGTAGTAACAACAATTCTTTCTTTTTCATAATAATAATTTTAGCTTTATCTACATATGAATTCCTACAAATAGAGTTTTGCATTATTTTGTCAAGTTCTTTAAGAACATATCCTGGTGGAATAGTGATAGACATTACAACAAATGTGCATGCTGATTTTGTGATAGTTGAAGAAAACAAAGAAACTTTTTAATTGGTAAATAATTATTTCACAATTTAGATTTTTGTCTCCCTGAAAACAAATTCTCTTTGTAAAGATGTAAATATATTTAATTTAATACGTGCAACAGGGCCAGGCGCAGTGGCTCATGCGTGTAACCCCAGCAATTTGGGAAGCTGAGGCGGGTGGATCACCTGATGTCAGGAGTTTGAGACCAGCCTGGCTAACATGGTGAAACCCAGTCTTTACTAAAAATACAAAAAATTATCCGGGCATGGTGGTGTGTGCCTGTAATCCCAGCTACTCGGGAGGCTGAGGCAGGAGAATTACTTGAATCCAGGAGGCAGAGCTTGCAGTGAGCTGAGATCCTGCCATTGCACTCCAGCCTGGGCAACAAGAATGAAACTCCATCTCAAAAAAAAAAAAATATATATATATATATATATATATGTATATATATATATATATATGTATATATATGTATATATATGTGTATATATGTATATATATGTATATATGTGTATATATATGTATATATGTATATATATGTATATATGTGTATATATATGTATATATATGTGTATATATGTGTGTTATGTGCAACAGTAGAATATATCTGTTGCCTAACAATTACACTAGCAAAAATATAGTAAAGGAAATCTAACCAAGAAGAGTTCACCTACTCCATGCTACTCTCAACCTTCCTTTTCTAATAAAAAGACATATACTATAAGATTAGGGCTGCAATGACTTTACAAAATAACTCACTGAGTCTTTGAGAGGATGCTACTTCGGGCTTAAAGATATTTTAGGATTTTCTATAAGGAATTTCAGAAGGTGGTGGTGGTTGGGGGTTGGAATCATTGAGTAATAATTTGGTTGGGGAGCTGTGATGATTTGAAGGGATGCTTAACAAAAATGGTTTTGGAGGGAGTGAACACCTGAGGGCAAAGAAAATGGATTGCATGTGGATCTCAAAGGTGACTGTTTCCTGGTAAAGAGTCTAAATGCCTGGTAGCAATTCCTTTGAGACTCAAAAGGAATTTCAAGATAATAAATAGTTTTTGGACAAATTAATAAATTAATTACTTTCACTTATCCTCCAATTTCTTTCTAAAATTACTGCAGATCCTCTTCACCTAGATTTTCCATGGTGGTAATCATGGAGTGAAGGGATAGCATAGTAAGGTGAAGGGACAATGGTCTCATCTTACTTATTACTTTCAGGGTTATGGAGTCTTACTCAAAGTTTCAGGTAGTGATTAAATGTAGGGAAAAGGAACCCAGAAGGGAACTAGCAGAGTTCCCAGGCTTTTCATAGAGAGTGGTATTTTATGTTTTTTTGTTTTGTTTTATTTTGTTTTGTTTTAATCACACAGCAAATACTTTTAGACTTGTTATGTGCCAAGTACTCTGAGTGCTAGGGATAGAGCCAAAAGGAAAATTTACAACAGTAGATGACCTCATGGAATTAATATACTAGAAGAGAGAGAACTAAAAATAGTCAAAATCAAGAGAAAAATACATAATGCATCACCTGAAAATTGATATGGGAAGAAATAAAACAGCAGCAAGGAATAAGAAATGCTGATAAAGTAAGAGAACATGAGGTCAGAGAGGGAGCAGGGTGCCAGATCACTTAGCAAATAACTATGGGTTTTATTCTGAGTGAGTCGTAAATTCACTGGGAAGTTTCAGGAAGGAAGGTGTCATGATCTGAATTTTGTTTCTAAAATGATTCCTCTAACTGCTTGGTTAAAAATATGCAGTAGAGGGCAAGGGAGGAATCAGGAAATTGATTAGGAAACAATTGCAGTAATCCAAGCAAGAGATGTTGAGGATGTCAGATCAGGCTGTACGCAGTGGAGGTGGTGAATAATCTCAGAATTTGAATGTTCTCAAAGCAGAGCAAACAGGCTTTAGTTAAATATCACATATGAGGGGTATACATGAAGCTATTTTTCTACAGCAATAGGATTTGAATTAACTGAGATAGCAGAAACCTAAAAAGCAACAGATTTGTTTGGACATAGTAGAATTCAGGACATTAGTTTTGCACAAATTATAGTTGAGCTGCCCATTAGGTAATTAAGTAGAGATTTTGTGCAGACAGTTTGGATATCTGAATCTGATTTAGTAGGAGAGATCTTGGATGGAAACATAAATCTGGGAGTTATTATATAGAAAGTATTTAAAGCCATGAAATGGGATGAAATCACCAAAGGAGTGACTGTAGATACAGGTAAGGGCTGAGGAATGAGCCAGTGATACTACAAATATGAGCTTTGAGGATGAAGTAGAATCCACAAAAAAAGCTGAGGAGGAACATCATTGGCTTAGGAGAAAGACCTACAGAGTGAGGCATCAAGGAAGCTAAGGGAAGCATCAGAATGGACAGTCTGTACCAAGTGGTGCTGATAGACAAGTGAGATGAGGGCTGAGAATTTGCATCAGTAGTAGCAGCATGGAGTGCACTAACACCCTGGCTGAGAACATTGTTAGTAGCATGGTGGGTATCAGAGATAATGGGAGGAGAACATTGAAAATCATTGTTATATACAACGGTTTTAAAGGGTTTTGCTATGGGGTAGTACCTGGAGAGGAAAGTGGGGCTAAAAAGAATGTTATGGCTTTATTTGTTCTTTTTTGTTTGCTTTTTATGGTAGGAGAAATAACATATTTTTATGCCGATCTGATGGTCCCATGTAGAAGAGAAAGTTGAAGATTTGCAGAGTAGGGTGGAGGGGGAATTGCCTGAGTCCTATGTAGGTTAGAAGAGATGAAACCTACTGCCAAAGTAGAATTTAGTAAACAATAGGAATTACAAGCTCATATATTTAAGCCACTATTTGAGCCCTGAAAAGGGAGAGAAGAAATTTAAATATATTAAATAGACTAGGATTTTATTTTGTAGCTTGGTTTTTAGTCACTGGAGACATTTTACTGCATTTCCTTTAATTCAGTGCAATTTTCATCAGATTTTATATCAGCACAATGCTCAATTCATAAGCTCAATTTACAATCTATCCAAATTTTTTGTTTGTTGTGGAGTTGTTTCCATATCATGGCAACAGGTGGAAAATAGATTCTATGTGGAAGAGGAGAAACCTTCATTTATCAGTAAAGTAGAAAGTAGAATTATCCCCTGAGAAATAGTGAGACCATGTGAAAAATTGAGATCCAAATCTCAATAACTACTCTGTGCTCTAAGTACCTAGATGCTA
The DNA here is from genome assembly GCF_000001405.40 of Homo sapiens. Taxonomy (NCBI): domain Eukaryota; kingdom Metazoa; phylum Chordata; class Mammalia; order Primates; family Hominidae; genus Homo; species Homo sapiens. Next base: position 118,577,342 of record NC_000007.14, read on the forward strand.
TAAAGATGTCAGCCCAGCTCCACCATATGGAGATTTCCTTCTCACTCTTTATATGTTCATATAGTTCTGGACAATTAGAGGTGCAAAATGAGAGTCTACCTGGCCGCAGTCATAGTGATTAGACCAGAGGAAAACCTTCACCCAAGTTGAATCAATGTTGCTTTCTTGAGAATTAGAAAATTACACCCATTCCAGTATTGACTGATCTCTTAAATGACAAAAAACATGGAATAGCTGTGTTTTATGTTTACTGGACTGGCAAAAAATAAAAATGGCCCCCCAAAACATGGAATATTACAGAACTGTTTAGAAAAGCAAAAATGAAAATGTAGGGAGCACTGAGATTCTCATGGCTGCTCATTAGCATATTTAAGCACATTTCTCAATCCTGACCTAGTGTTCCACAAAATATTCCACATCCTCATGGGACTAAGAAGGGTGAAGATTACTGGAGCTAATGGGTCAACACGCTTATGTAGGGGGACACTGTACAATAACACTGACATGGGAGATGTCATGGGGTGTGTGGATAGGAAGTCAAGTTTCAATTATGCTCAAGTTTACAAAAGAACTTTCAGTCAAGAGGTTGAGAACATAAAGGGTTTTCAGAGAGCACAGCAAGGAGAGTCAAAAAACAGCTAACAGAGATTAATCAGAAAGGGGTAGCACAGCATAGGATTGGAGTTAGTTGCTGGATTAGACAGAGGGAATACAGGTTGGCATTTTGGGAACTGAATGATGTTAAGACTAGATGGACATGGAGTTACTAACTATACAGAGGAACTGTGATAATTTTGCACTACTCTAAGTATCTGACAAGACATTGTTATGATGTATAATATTGTCAAAACTTGTCTCCTTTGGTTGCCTAAAAAAAAGACCAGCCCTTTTAGCCTCATTCACACTCACTTTCTAATTTCTGAAGAAACTAGCCTTGAATGCAGGGACCAATCGATGTTTGTCTTGGTTTCAAAGGATGGAAGGGCTGAGCTCCAGGAATGAGATGCTCTCCTGTAATGTCTGTGACTCTTCTCTAAGGATTTTATTAAGAAGTCAGACTAAATGCCTGAAAATGAGTGCAGCTTTATTTAATCCACATTCTGAAAATCTTTCACCTATAAACAGGTAGAAGGTAGAAGAAACTGCAACTGGTATCATTGCTTTTGCAAGTAAATTTACTATAAGGAATAATTCTTTTTTCCAATTTTAGAGCTCGGTATTAAATATTAGGATGAACCATGGGAATGAACAAAGGAGAAACAAAGTAGACTTTCTGTAAATTAAGTTTGCCCCGTAAATCATCCTCAGTAATTACACTAGGACAATCAATTTAGCATTTAATTAATTATTCAATATTTTAATTTAAGCTCAGGTTTTGGACAATATGGTTTTGGAACAAAGAGAACTTGGTTTAACTTTGAACTCTGCCTCCTAGGCTATGGTAAATTACAGGAGCCATAGAGACTCTCAATGTCATCATTTGTTAAAGAAGGTCATTTTCTATTTCACAGATTTTTTTTTCCTGCAATTAATTATTCAGTACATATAATATACCTCACAAAAAAAGTCAGCCCAGAATAACCCTTGATTAAATACTTGGTCCCTGCCCTCATTTCTTAAGCAGCAGCCAGTGGCCATGGGCACCACGTAGCTACTTCATCGTGGGTGGGGCTGACTGCTGCCATGCTCATACTACTTAATAGTGGCCAATTAGTTTTAGAAACAACAAGTTCTTAAAGACCTGTTTATTTAAATTCTCTGTATTTATAATGTTTGAGAAACAGATAATAATACTAAAAAAAATCATTTTTTATCACAGTCAAAACTGTTTCCCAAAATTCAGTCATTGTTCTTCCCCATGAACATAATAGCAGGAGCATGCTATTATGTCTAGTCTTCTTAAAATATTCTGAAGCCTAGCATTTCTCTTTTGGTGGGCACAATTCAACCTGTTAATTATATACTTCTTGTTTTTGCCATTATTTAAAATATTTTTCTAACATGCTAGCATTCAAATATATCTCAGTTTTTTGAATTTGCTATGAAAAGAAAATAATTTGAGATTAGGGTCACAGATATTTATGAACAGGGAATTAAAAGGCATGACTAATATAATTGGCAAGAGATTTGCCTTACTTTTTCACAAGTGGAAAAAGCCATGGTTGCTGCTCTTAAATTAACTTAGTTCAATATTAAAATCAGGTAAAGTAACCAAGTCATGTTTCCCTCTCATTTTGCAATGCTCAGTGATGTTTTACAAAATTGAAAACTTTACCTTTTCATTCATTTGCTGTATGAATTAAACATTAACAAGATTCAAAGGAGCTTAAAGCCTAGGAAAAAGGTCAATATACTCTAGGGAAAACTGAAGGTTATTATTTTATGCTATTTTACTGCAGCACTGTAATTTACCACTCAAGCAATCCAGATGGAATATTGATACAGCTGGGTGAGACAAAGTCAACAGCAGGCCTACTTAATCTCTTAATAGGAACTTTCTCAATCCTAACCTTATTATTAGGATTTAGGCTTTTCCATAAAATTTTTGACAAAATATTCTTTAAGTTTTATATATTTTCTGAGCTTATTCCATTATTGAAAAATTCTGATCTATGGCTTATTCATTGATGAGATTTTTAACTAACCACAATTACCAATAACTAAGATTGTAACTTTATTTTTGCATTCATACATTACACTTAATTAACTGTTACATTTCTACAGCTAAGGTTTGAGAGATAAATATAAAATTACTAATCTTAGTAATGATGACTGAAATTGAGCTACCAAAACAGTAAAATAATTTGATTTCTATCTCAAAGAAAAATGTCTAGAGAAATCAATTAAGAAAAATTAACATTTAAAAAGTTCGTTATAAGGCTAATGACTTGTTTTATATTTGAATTTTAAAGCCAGTAGTATAAAGGATGACTCAGGTTGGAAAATGGTTTGTGCCATTTTCAACTCGAATTGGCACCAAAACAAAGCTGCTAAAATTGTTAAAATTTGGGGTTATTACCTCTTAAAAATCTTTGTAAAATTGATTCATAGAAGAGATACCTTCCTTGTTAGAACTACTTGGAAGCGTTTTTGCTATTAGATATTATAATATGTATGGATAATTATAACCAGGTTATTATTACATTTTGGGCTGATTACAAAATATTAGTAGCTGGTACTTTAATATTATCATGATTCATTGAAGTGTCATTCATAATGTAAAAATACGTTAAATAACCTATTGGCAAACTAAATAATATGATGAAAACTTTATAGTAACGTAGTAGATATGTTTACCACATAGGCATTGACAAGAAAATAAGCCTAGTAGTAATAGGATGATATGTATAATGACTCCAACAGAGCGGCTTTTTGAGAAGACAGTTGTCAAGCGCATCCGTTGAAGAGAGTCCACCAACAGGCTTTGTGTGAGCAACAAGGCTGTTAATTTCACTTGGGTGCAAGTGGGCTGAGTCTGAAAAGAGAGTCAGCAAAGGGAGATAGGGGTGGGGGAGTTTTATAGGACTGGGGGAAGCAGTGGAAAGTTACAGTTAAAGGTGGTTATCTGTGGTTAGCAGAGGAGGGGGTCACAAGGTGCATGGTGGGGAGATCATAAGACTCATTGTTCAGAAGAAGAATGTCAGAAGGTCGATCTATCAGTTGGGGCAGGACAGGAACCAGTCATAATGGAATGTCGTAAGGTTGGTCAATCAGTTAAGACAGGAGCTGGCTGCTTCACTTCTTTTGTAGTTTTAGGTTGCCCCAGACTTCTTGGCTCCTGCAGGCCATCTGGTCGTATATGTTCAGGTCACAAGGGTTACAATGGCTGAGCTTCAGCTAAGAGGCCTGACAACAATCACATTGGGAAAATATCTTAAAATGTACCAAGGAGACATTTGGTTGAGAGACAATAGGATTTATTCCATAGGATGGTAGGACATTGTGATTAAAAGGAGAAAAAAGTCTATAATATGAAATAATACCTAGGATTCCCAAAAGGCAGATATTATAGTTAATAGATTACAGTTTTCTGTGTTTCCAATGATATTACATTCAATGATGAAAAAAGAAAAAAAAATGGACCTGAAATCCTTTTTGTACTTACCAAATCGTTGATTTTAAGAGTAATTAGTATCGAGAAACTCTGCTCAATCTCTTGAAACTGAAGCTAAAAAGTAATAATTTAATCAGATTGTATTTTAAACTTTCAACTAGTAATAAAGGCATTTCTGAGGAAGGCAATTATACAAACTAAAATTAAATACAATTATATAAGTCAAAACATGAGATATGTATCACAAACGCTACAGATTTTATTTCCAGTTAAATCAGATATGCTATACAAGCAATGTATGCTTGTGTACTAAATATTGCACTTTGAAATCAACTGACTTATATAGAAAACAACCTTATGATGTTTAGTAGTCATGATTTTCAATAAAAAAAGATTAAAGTTAGAAATGTAAATAAATCTGTATGCAGCATGGTCCTGTGTATGAGAAAGAAATCATCCAGGGTAGGTCAAATTCTGGAATGTCTTTCCGACCTCTAATGCCTGCCTGCACTGTTAGGCATTTTCCTGCATCAGTTTTTCCTTTAAATAAAAGCCCCATGTGAGTATACCCTTGTAAGTTTAGTGAATACTTTCAAACATCTGAAGTAAGGAAAACAATCTAGCTGCACACTGGAAGAACTGGGAAACTTAAATTTTAACTCATGCTAGATATCACAACCAAGATTCTGATTTAATTGTTTTGGGGTGTGGCCTGGATTACAGGAAGTTTAGAAGCTTCAGAGGTAATTCTAATATGGTGCTTATAGTTGGGAACCACTGAACTGAACAAAGATTAGTTATGTCCACAGGTGAATATTCAGGGTAATTAGTAAAGCATGGTATTTAGTATAGCTGGGACATCGACTCTTTCCTATTTCAGCCTCTTTGAAAAGCAGAAAACCCTGAATCTCTGGGTCAGATCAGGAGACATCTCTAAGCTGTGTTTTCTTTTGTTTGTTTTGTGTGATTGTTACAGAATACACCATCTGAGACAAATCTGGCTCTTGGATATTACCAGTGGATAAATAACTGTCAGTGCTATAGAAAATAGTATTTGTAGAATTTGTTTCAGAGTTTTTGATCATGAACAATGTGTTTTTACATGGAAGAGGGAATCCACACTCTGGGAAGCTTCGTCAATGAAGTGCACAGCATCTCAAGACTGTTGAAGTGGATGTTATTAAAGAGATGGCTTATACCATTTTCTCATTCTAATCAATACCCCCAGTAAAGGGTTTCTTGCATAAAAAGCCTAAGAATCAATTTTGCCAAATTAGGTTGGTCTCACAAGGAAATGGAAGGGACCGAAAATTAGACTCAGTCCTAAGTAAGAGTACAGCAGTCCATAGGGGTATTTCTTTTTATGTCTCCTCTAAAGTTTTTTTTCCTTTTTCACATAAATTTAAATACAAATGTGCAATTAGATTGTGAAACATTTCTAATTTTTATCTGTTGTACAGATATTTAGACCACAAATTGTTTGGAACATATTTGCTAGTTTTTAAAATTTATAACTAACTGAAAACATAACTGTTTTCAATTATTTTTCATGTCATAAAATAATGGAAGATAGAGTTATCTGCTTTATATTCAGAGAAATTTCCACTTAATTATTTCTTTAAAAAATTATTTCACAGAGCATTACTATTTTTCCCTTTGGTACGCTGCATTCTTTTATATTAAAACCATTGTTTTGTCTCCCTTTACTGTATTTAACAAGGATATAGTTAAGTAAGCCCAGTTTGGAAAAGTAGGTTTTAGAGAGAAATAAAGGCAATAAAACTGTACAGGCAATCATGTCTATTTCTTCTAGACTTTAATTATTTTTACCTTAAAACCTTATATTTTAATGGAGTAAGAAAGCAAAACCAAAAATGGTTTTAAATATAAAATTTTATCTTTGATTTCTGAGGTAGCAATATTCAATAAACAAATAGGTTTCATTGGGAGAAAAAATATACTTTTCAAGAATAGAAAATCTTATTTAATTTAATTTATTATTATTATTTACCATGCAGTGCTATCTAGGTTGAGACAAAACTTCACTATGAACAGCTCTAGCCTAATTTTCAAGGGTAAACATACGGGAAGAACATTTAGTAATATACTTACTTGTAAAAGAAAAGCCATATGCATTACATGGGTACATTTTGGTGTCTATAGCCTACAGCAAGCTCTTGGTCTAGATCCATAATGAACAATGAAGTCAGGAATTGATTTCTGCCACTGCCTCTTGGATGACATTTATAATTTGCTACTGCTTGTTGTTACATTACATCTCAGTTTTCTAATTAGACTTTACAATCCTTAAGAACATGAAATGTTGTTCACTTTTCACTTTCCATAAATACCTAGAGCACTGTCTAAGTCTGCCAATCTAATTATTCCTGTAGTCTGAAGCTGCCCTAAAGTAGTTGAAATCTAGCCAAAAGGTCACAGATGTTTAGTCTTGGAAAAGACCTTGAGAGACACTCCGGTTCATATGCCTGATTTGGCACACTGAATAATTTTTTTGTTTTCAGGCAGATGGCATCTGGACTTACATGTATTTCTACTCTAAAAAGCAATGAATGAATATTCCCTGTTTTCATCTGAAGACTCATAGGATTTCCTGTCTTGCCAGGCAATATAACCCTAGTTAGACCATATCCTCTGCCTTCCATACTTTGTTGCATTCCATCTCCCATAAACTTCTATTCTAAATTTACTTCTGTTCTCAAGATATACACCATCCATGACCATTTTCTTGGTGGTCAGGATGAATCAATAAAATAAATATAGAAGGGTATCACTTAAAATATTTAATAACAATTATGGTACAGGCCCAATCTTATCAGAGTGGGGCAATAAAAAAATCAATGCCAGCTACATTTAACTCTATGGCCATATTGGTGCACACCAACTCAATATCAGCCTTAAAAATATACAATCTCATAGAAAACATGAGAATTAAAGAGAATCAATTCTGAAGACTGTATTTGTTTCCTAGGGCTGCTGTAACAAATTATCACATACTTGACAACAAAAACAAACAGAAATGTATTTCTCCAGTTTTGGAGGCCAGAAGTCCTTAATCAAGGTGTTGGCAGGAATTAATTCCCTCTGGAGACTCTACGGGAGAATCTATTCCACACTTTTATTTTAACTTCTGCCAGCAACTCTTAATGATCCTTGGTTAAGGGATTCATACTTTCAATGTCGGCCACAAAATTTACATAGACTTTTCTGTGTGTGTCCAATTTCCCTCTTTTATTTTTCCCTTAAAAGGTCACCAGTAAAAGCCTATCCTAAATTGAAGATAATCTCAAATTGAGATTCTTAACTTAATTACATCTGTAAACTCTCTAATTTAAAATGAGGTCACATTCATGGATATTGGGGTTTAGAACTTGGACATTTTATTTTGTGGGACACTATTCAACCCACTACAAAGAACATATATCCTGGGTGTTTTACATACAGCCAAATCTTAAATCTTAATTTTATCTGATAAGGCAAATATTATTTACTCTGTTTTTCATATGAGAACACTAAAGCTTAAAGAAATGGAGTGCCCATTGTGTTAGACTGCATTGCCATAAAAGAATACCTGAGCCTGGGTAATTTATAAAGAGAGAAGATTTATTTTGACTCACAGTTCTGCAGGCTGCACAGGAAGTATGGCACCAGCATCTGTTCCTTGTGAGGGTACAGGAAGCTTACAATTATGGCAGAAGATGAAGGGGAGCAGGCACATCACGTAGTGAGAGCAGGAGTGAGAGAAGTGGGAGAGGAAGTGACACACTCCTTTATATAACCAGATCTCATGTTAATTCAGTGCAAGAATGTACTCACTTTAACAAGGAGGGCACCAAGCCATTCATGAGGGATCTGCCCCAATGATCCAAACACTTCCTACCAGGCCCAACATACAAAACTGGAGATTACATTTCAACATGAGATTTATAGGGGACAAACATCCAAACTACATCATTCCATCCTTGGCCCTCGAAATCTCACATCTTTCTTACAAAGCAAAATGCAATCATGCCTTCCCAACAGTCTCCAAATGTCTTAAATCATTCCAGCATTAACTTAAAGTCCAAAGTCTTATTTGAGGTGCAAAGTAAGTTTCTTCCATTTATGAGCCTGTAAAATAAAAAATAAGATATTTACTTCCAAGATACAATAATGATATAAGAATTGGATAAACATTCTGATATGGTTTGGCTGTTTCTCCATCCAAATCTCATCTTAAATTGTAGCTCCCATAATTCCCACATGTTATGGGAGGGACCTGGTAGGAGATAATTAAATCATGGGGGAAGTTTCCCCCATACTGTTCTTGTGGTGGTGAATAAGTCTCACAAGATCTGATGGTTTTATAAGGAGAAATTCATTTCATTTGATTTTCATTCTCTCTCTTGCCACTACCATGTAAGAAGTGCCTTTCACTTTCACCTTCTCATATGATTATGAGGCCTCCCTAACCACATGGAACTTAAAGTTCATTAAACTTCTTTCTTTTGTAAATGGACCAGTCTCTGGGGTTTTTTTTTTATTAGCAGCATGAAAACAGACTAATACAGTAAACTGGTGCCAATAGAGTGAACTACTGAACACTACTAAAAGGATAACCAAAAATGTGGAACAACTTTGGAACTGAGTAACAGGCAGAGGTTGAAACAGTTTGGAGAGCTTAGAAGATGACAGGAAAATGAAGGAAAGTTTGCAGCACCCTAGAGACTTGTTGAATGGCTTTGATCAAAATACTGATAATGATATGAACAATGAAATCCAGGCTGAGGTGGTCTCAAATAGAGATGAGGAACTTTTTGGAAACTAGAACAAAGGTGACTCTTGTTATGTTTTAGCAAAGAGACTGGTGGCATTTGCCCCTACCCTAGAGATCTGTGGAACTTTGCACTTGAGGGAGATGATTTAGGGTATATGGCAGAAGAAATGTCTAAGCAGCAAAGCATTCAAGAGATAACTTCCATGCTGTTAAAAGCATTCTGTTTTAAAGGGAAGCAGAGGATAAAAGTTTGGAAAATTTGCAGCCTGATGATGCAATAGAAAAGAAAAACCCATTTTCTGAGAAATTCAATCTGGCTTCAGAAATTTGCATAAGTAATGGGGAGTCAAATGTTAATTGCACAATGGGAAAAATGTCTCCAAGATGTGTCAGAGACCTTTGTGGCAGCCCCTCCCATCACAAGCCCAGCGACCTAGCAGGAAAAAATGGTCTCATGGACAGGCCTAGGGTCCTCCTGCTGAGTACAGCCTAGGGACTTGGTATCCTGTGTCCCAGCTGCTCTAGCCACAGCCAAAAGGGGCCATGCTGCAGCTCAGGTCATGGCTTCAGAGGGTGCAAAGCCCAAGCCTTGGCAGCTTCCACATGATGTTGAGTCTGCAAGTGCACAGAAGTCAAGAATTGGGGTTTGGGAACCTCTAGATTTCAGAGGATGTATAGAAATGCCTAGATGTCCAGGCAGAAGTTTGCTGCAGGGGTGGAGCTCTCATGGATAACCTCTGCTAGAGCAGTGAGAAAGGGAAATGTGGGGTTGAAGACCCCACACAGAGTCCCCACAGGAACACTGCCTAGTGGAGCTGTGAGAAGAGGACTACTATCATCCAGACCCCAGAATGGTAGATCCACTGACAGCTTGCACAGTGCACTTGGAAAAGCTGCAGACACTCAATGCCAGCCTTTGAAAGCAGCCAGGATGAATGCTGTGCTTTGCAAAACCATGGGGGCAGAACTGCTCAAGACTATAGGAACACACCCCTTGCATCAGTGTTCCCTGGATGTGAGATGTAGAGTCAAAAGAGATCATTTTGGAGCTTTAACATTTGACTGCCCTGCTGAATTTCAGACTTGCGTGGAACCTGTAGCCCCTTTGTTTTGGCCAATTTTTCCTTCTGGGAAAGGGTATATTTGCCCAATGCCTGTTTCCCCATTGTATCTTGATTTTACAGGCTCATAGGCAGAAAGGACTTGCCTTGTCTCAGATGAGACATTGGACTGTGGACTTTTGAGTTAATGCTGAAATGAGTTAAGACTTTGAGGGATAGATGGGAAGGCATGATTGCTTTTGAAATGTGAGGACATGAGATTTGGGAGGAACTTTGGTGTAATGACATGGTTCGGCTGTTTCCCCACCCAAATCTCATCATACATTATAGCTCCCATAATTTCCACATGTTATGGGGGGGACCTGGTGGAGATATTTGAATCATGGGAGGTAGTTCTCCCATTCTTTTCTTGTGGTAGTGAATAAGTCTCAAGAGATCTGGTGGCTTTATAAGGGGAACCCCTTTCACTTGGTTCTTATTCTGTCTCTTGCCGCCATGTAAGAAGTGACTTTCACCTTCTATCATGATTGTGAGGGAGGCCTTCCTCGCCCCATGGAACTGTAAGTCCACTAAACCTCTTTCTTTCTTAAATTTCTCAGTCTCAGGTATGTCTTTATTAGCAGTGTGAAAACAGACTAATACACGTTCTCATCTCAAAAGGGAGAAATTGGCCAAAAGAAAGGGGCATCAAGCCACATACAATTCTCTGAAACCCAGAAGGGCAGGCATTAAATTTTAAAGAAAGCACCAAAATAATCCTTGCCTCTGTGTCCTGCATCCAGAGCACACTGGGATAAGGGGTGAGCTCCTGAGGCCTTGGGCCGCTCTGCCCCTCTGTCTTTGTAGGGGGAACCCCTGTGGCTGTTTTCATGGTTTGGAGGTGAATGCTTGCAGCTTTTCTAGGCTGAGGTTGCAGGCTGCTTTGGCTTTACCATGGAGTCTGGAGGGTGGCAGACCCATTTAGACAGCTCCTTTAGGCAGTGCCATGCTGAAAACTCTGTGTGGGGCTCCACCTCCACATTTCCCCTCAGCACTGCCCTAGCAGAGACTCTCTGTGAGAGCTCTTCCCCTGAAGCATGCTTTTGCCTGGGCACCCAGGCTTTCGGATACAACCTCTGAAATCTAGGTGGAAGCGCCAAACTTCCTTCAGTCTTGCATTCTGCATGCCAGCAGGCTTAACATCATGTGGAATCACCAAGGCCTGTGGCTTGTGCTTTCTGGAGTGGCAACCCAAGCTTCACCTGAAATCCTTTGAGCCACAGCTGAAGCTGGAGCAGCCAGGATGCCGGCAGCAGTGTCTCAAGGATAAGCAGGACAACGGAGCCCTTGACTTGGCCCATGAAACCTTTCTTTCCTCTTAGGCCTTGGTTTGGAAGGGGGATTGTGATGGCAGAGCCTGACTCCAAGATCTCTGAGATGCCCTGAAGTCTTTTTCCCATTGTCTTCTATATTAGAACTTGGCTCCCTTTTAGTCATGCTAATCTCTCCAGCAAGTAGTTTCTCCACAGTCCACTTGAATTTCCCTCTTGAAAATGATCTTTTCTTCTCTATCACATGGCCAGATTGTGAGTTTTCCATTTTTTTTCACTCCACCTTCCTTTTAAATATAAGTTACAACTTCAAGTCATTTATTTGGTCCTACATTTGATTTAGGATGTTAGAGACAGGAAGGCCACACCTCGAATGATCAGAAATTTCTTTTGCCAGACAACCAATTCATTACCCTTAATTTCAAAGTTCACAGATATTAAGATATGGACACAATGCAGCCAAATGCTTTGCTAGAGTGTAACATGGGTGACTTTTGCTCCAGTTCCTAATAAAATCCTTACTTTCATCTGAGATCTCATCAGCCTGACCATCACTGTCTACATTTCTATCACCATTTTAATCACAATCATTTAATAAGTTCCTAAGAAGTTACAAAGTTTCTCCTGTCTTTCTGTCTTCTTTTGAGCCCTTCAAACTCTTCCAACCTCTGCCTGTTACCCATTTCTAAAGCTGCCTCCACATTTTTAGGTAACTTAATAGCAAAACTTCTTTCCTGGGTACCAATTTTCTGCATTAGTCCATTTGCATTGCTATAAAATAATACCTGAGATGGAACAATTTATAAAGATAAGAGGTTTATTTTGACTTATGATTATGCAGGCTATACAGTGAGCATTGTGCTGGCATGTGTTCCTGGTGAGGACCTCAGGAAACTGGCAATCATAGCAGAAGATGAGGGGGGAGTGGGTTCATCATATGGTGAAAGTGGGAGCAAAGATGGGGGGAAGTGTCACATGTTTTTAAACAACCGGATCTTGTGTGAACTTATTACCAGGAGCAGGGCACCAAGTCATTCATGGAAGATCCGCTCCATGATCCAAACACCTCCTACGAGGCCTCGCCTCCAACATTGGGGATTATATTTTAACATGAGATTTGGAGGGGACACACATCCAAAATATATCACCCATCAAAAGAGTAACTTAAAAATCTAGAATGAGAATTTAAGCTTTCTCTTTTATAGCAAGCACAGCAACTGAGCAAGAGATAAAATCAGACTCATCTCATGATAAGCAGATAAAAGACAAATATTTTATTTTTTCTCTACTATGGTTTGATTTCAAAGATATATTAAATCTGATTATAAATTTATAAAATGTGTTACAAGCAGGGGTATTCATTACTTTTTATTATTATTCATGCAGTGGAGAGTGTTAAAAGAAAAGATGGATGTTATTGAACACAATCATAGACAACTAGACAACTGAGTGGAGAGGATGATCAACATGAAGCCTGGCTGAGGAGAGTGAAGAGATGTGTGATGACAGAGAATAGGCCAGGCTTAGTGTGACAATTCTAGGTCGGCAGAACTAATATGGCCTGACTTAGTGTCCCCAACTAAATCTCATCTTGAATTGTAATTCCCAAGTGTTGGGGGAGGGACCTTGTGGGAGGAGATTAGATCATGAGGGCGGTCCCCCCATGCTATTTTCCTGATAGTGAGTAAGTTCTCATAAGATCTGATGGTTTTATAAGGGGCTTCCCCCTTCAATCTCTCTCATTCTTCTCTCTCCTGCCACCTTGTGGAGAAGGACATGTTTGCTACCCCTTCCACCATGTTTGAGTTTCCTGAGGCTTCCACAGCCCTGGGGAACTGTGAGTCAGTTAAACCTATTTTCTTTATAAATTACCTAGTCTCAGGTATGTCTTTATTAACAGCATGAGAACGGACTAATATAGTAAATTGGTACTAGAAGTTGGGTGCTGCTCTAAAGATACCCCAAAATGTGCAAGTGACTTTGGAACTGGGTAAGAAGAAGAGTTTGGAGCAAATTGGAGGGCTCAGAAGACGACTGGAAAATGTGGGAAAGTTTGGAATTCCTAGAGACTTAGAGGGCTCAGAAGACAGGAAGACATGGGAAAGTTTGGAACTTCATAGAGATTTGTTGAATGGCTTTGATCAAAATGCCGAGAGTGATATGGACAATGAAGTCCTGGCTGAGGTGGTCTCAGATGGAGATGAGGAACTTTTTGGGAACTGGAGTAAAGGTCACTCTTGTTATGTAAAGAGACTGGTGGCATTTTGCCCCTACCCTAGAGGTCTGTGGAACTTTGAACTTGAGAGAGATGATTTAGGGTATCTGGTGAAAGAAATTTCTAAGCGGCAAAGCATTCAAGAGGAAGCAGAGCATGAAAGTTTGGAAAATTTGCAGCCTGATGACATGTTAGAAAAAAACCATTTTTCTGAGGAGAAATTCAAGCTCCCTGAAGAAATTTGCATAAGTAATGAGGAGCCAAATGATAATCACCAAGAAAATGGGGAAAATGTCTCCAGGGCATGTTACAGACCTTCATAGTAGCCCCTCCTATCACAGGCCAGGAGGTGTAAAAGGGAAAACTGGTTTCCCCCTGCTCTATGCAGCCTTGGGACATGGTGCCTTGCATCCCAGCTACTTCAGCTTCAGCCATGACTAAAAGCAGCCAATGTACAGCTCAGGCCATTGCTTCAGAGGGTGCAAGCCCCAAGCCTTAGCAGCTTACAAGTGGCATTGATCCTATGGATGAACAGAAGTCAAAAATTGAGGTTTGGGAACTTTCGCCTACATTTCAGAGGATGTATGGAAATGATATCTAAACAGAAGTTTGCAAGGGTAGAGTCCTCATGGAAAATCTCTGCTAGGTAGTGCAAGAGGGGAATGCAAGGTTGGAGCTCCCACACAGTGTCCCACAACTGGCCACCATCCTCCAGTTCCCAGAATGGTAGATCCACCCACAGCTTGCACAGTGCACCTGGAAAAGTCACAGACACTAAATGTCAACTGTGAAAGCAGCTAGGGTCGGGGGCTTTACCCTGCAAAACCACAGGGGCGGAGCTGCCCAACACTATGGGAGCCCAACACTTGCATCAGTGTGACCTGGATGTGAGACATGGAGTCAAAGGAGATCATTTTGGAACTTTAAGGTGTAATAACTGCTGTAGTGCATTTCAGAATTTTATGGGGCTATAGCCCCTTTGTTTTGGCCATTTTCTACCTTTTGGAATGGGTGTATTTACCCAATGCCTATATCCCTATTGTGTCTTGGATGTACCTAACTTGCTTTTGATTTTACAGACTCATAGGTGAATAGGACTTGCCTTGTCTCAGATGAGACGATGGACTTTGACTTTTGGGTTAATGCTGAAATGAATAAAGACTTTGGGGAACTATTGAGAAGGCATAATTTTGTTTTGAAATGTGAGAAAGATGAGATTCGGGAGGGGCTATGGGCAGAATGTTATGGTCTGGCTTTGTGTCCCCTCCCATATCTCATCTGGCATTGTAATCTGAATTGTAATCCACATGTGTTGGGGGAGGGACCTCATGGGAGGTAATTAGATGATGGAGTCGGTCCCCACATGCTATTCTCATGATAGTGAGTAAGTTCTCATGAGGTGTGATGGTTTTACAAGGGGCTTCCTTCTTCACTCTCTCATCCTTCTCTCTCGATGCCTTGTGAAGGATATATTTGCTTCCCCTTCCATCATGATTGTAAGTTTCCTGAGGCTTCCCCAGCCCTGCAGAACTGTGCGTCACTTAAACCTCTTTCCTTTATAAATTACCTAGTCTTGAGTATGTCTTTATTAGCAGCATGAGAACAGACTAATATAAGAACTGTCTTCCCCAACATTTGCATTGGCTCCATCTCCATTTTCAGATATTGTCGCATTATCCTCTAGAAATTTTGACCATATATTTCATTAGAGTGTCTCATTAATATTTCTAAGTATTTTTTCCTATTGTCCATTTTCCTCCCATCTTTTAGTTTTTTGGTAGCATAAGCAAGATATGTGGGCTTTAAAAATCGTATGTAAGTGCATTATAAACATTATTTTTTCAATGGACATATCAAATGTCAATACAGTACTCTTAGTCTGTAGGATATACATATTAATTTTAAAACATAAGACTTATGAACATTTTCTAAATACCAGAAATACTTGAAATAAACTTTTGAAAACAAGGTTGAAACTATTAAAACTAAAATTCCTATGATAAAGAAGAATAATTTTCAAAGGCCTCCAGGTTAGCAATTCATTTTCTGCACAGAAACCATGTTTAATTTATAAATTAAAAAAAGTAAAAGTGGCTGCAGAAACAAATAATATTTTAATTTATTTGGAGCTCTCTAAATCCTCTTACGGAACTGGTTGATTATAATATATGAGCACAGGAGGAGGTCAATATAAATTAACTTATGATAAGTTTTGAATTTTTAAGGATAAATTATTTTCTGAGTTGAGTATTTTCTTTTCAAACATAATATTTTAGTAGTAGAATTTTTACAGTAGAAAAACATATCAAAAATATGTATGTATTATTTTCAAGATACTCTCTATTTATATCCTAGAAAATATTCAGCTATAAAACTTCAACAGTCTTGATTGAATTCAAGGTAACAAAGCACTGAATAGAATAATAAATTAGTGTCTAAGTGTTTAGACCTCATAAAACGTATTTTGAGGCATTTAAATATTATACATATTGTTATTATATCTAATACATCTGACTAAAAATAAAGTAGGTAACTGATCATAGGAACACCAGACATATTATTTTTTATTCTGCCTGAAAAAGGTCTTAAGTTCCAAATATGCTCCCCTTTTCCAATATAGGAGACAGTCCTACAATTGTGTTTTTCAAATGTTTGTAGGAATCATGCACTTAATTCAGAGAGAAATAGTATGCTGACAAGTGTGGTACCTGATATCAATGCTAGGGTATTTTCCCATACTTTTAATCTCTATACTATCCTCTACTTCACACCTTGTACACACAAACTTACAGATGAGTATGTGTGCATGCCCAACATGCATGCACATACACACACACATTCTGCATAACTGATGAATGGTTAGATTTTTTGTCATTGTGGTCATCTGACCTCTGAGTGTGTCTTATGTCCTCCTCCTCCTCCTCCTCTTCCTCCTTTTGCTTATAATGCTAAAACTAAAAGGAAACAATAAGGGTGTATTCAGGACATAGTTCTGCCATGCTTATGTTGAATGGCACATATTAAAGAATTGAAGCATGAACCTCTTAAGCTAAAAAAAAATTCTTATGCCTGATATTGCTGCATCTAGTTTTCTTTTAAAAGGTGTATTGGAATAAGTAAGAATTAAAGGTCCTTAGAACAAAAGACATTAATAAGAGTTCATGTTTGATAAATAGTGTCTTTTGTCCTACCTCAGGACAAGTCTATTTTTTTACCCTATTTATCCTTATGAAATATCATAATAGTTATTACAAGACAGAATTCAGCTAGTATATATTTTATGAAACCAAGACTTGAAGAATATTATAAATAACTTCAAAATTTATACATTGGTTTTAAATGGAAGTTACTAACAAGATAGCTTCCACAAATAGATTAGAAATCTAGAAGACAGGGAAGAAATAGGATAAAATAGTTCATGAATGTTCACATAGAAGTCAGATCTTTAAATAAAAGTACAAAGTAGACTTTATAGCTTAGCAGTGCAATTCGCTTTGCCCTAAGGTAACTTTCACTGAAATACTTAAACTACTACTGCTGTTTTGGGACAAGATTAAGATTGCTATTTGGGGCTAATTGCCAGGATGTAAGATCAAATTAATATGGTACAAAACTCATAGCCTCATCCAGTGTTACAAACTGGAACAAGTCATTTTAGAACTAATACAACCTAGCAATGTTTAACTGAATCAGAGTTTAGTAACATGAGCCAGCTCGACAACTTCCAGGGCAGAAGAGCCAATCATGAAATAACATTTACTAACTGAACCAGACAAAGGGAGAACAACCTATCAGGTGGGATGCATCACCACACGATTATTGCAAAACCACCACCTGGACTTACAGATCTAGGCCAACTGGGTAACCATTTTAAACACGATCTAAAATGTTAATACTGTGTCTCATTGTTCATTGATTCACTTGCAGCTGAAGGGCCAAACCAAATGAGAGGAAAATTGGAGACTATGTTTTAAAAGATCAATGTAGCCACTTTCTTGAACTGAATATCAAAAAATAAGACTCTTGTATTGAATATAAATTAGGTAAATACTGTGACAGTTAAAGCCTCTTTCCCCCTGCAGCTCACAATTCCTGCTTTTCTTTTAAGGTTGGCAAAGTATTTCCTTTGTTTCTGTCTAATCTGCAGTCCTTATTTCTATTTATGCTAAGCTCATATTCTTCGCTCACATCATGATACTAAACAGGAGATGATTTCTTAACAGAGATAAATATTATTTTTACTAAGGGAATTAAAACTGCAAAGCACAATCATACAAACAATCAATATTAACAAAATAAAAAAGATAAAGTAAGCAAGCAAGAAATAATTCAATTTTCATACTTTTACAAAGCTCTTCAGAATTATTATTTTCAAGCTGTTAGATAAAGCCATGATAAATTAGAACCACTCTTCCTAATATTCACTTTATCTCCTAAATTGCATTTTGCCTAGAAAAAAGCTTAAATGTATCTTAAAATATTGTATTAAAGAATGATAAAAGAAATATCTGTTCCTGGGCCCTCTATAACTTACATCTAAAAAACAAATATCAGGTATAGGTCTGTTCTCTTTGGTTAATATTTCTAGAAAAACTAACCCATAAATCATGTCCATAACTTGTAGTTAAGAAATGTAGCTGGATAGGAGATTTTCAGGGACTAATAGAGGAATTTGCTTAATTTTTACACATTTACAAACAATCTTTGGTCAATTAGCTTATGTGAAGTATTTTTTTGAAGGATGAAAGTATGAGAATTGTAAGAAGCTGATATCAATCCTGTTATGTCATACTTTACCAACATGACTTCAACAATTAATTGCCAAGCATTTTATTTAAATAGTATTTCTATGTGAGTTGAACATTCAAGTGGCAGTTTAAAAATTCTATCTTTCGAATGCTTACTAGGTTGTCTGAGGGTCCTGTCAAGGAATAAAAGATGCTTTGATCTTTTATTCAGCAAGCATCAAGTACCTGCTTGGCTGTGAGGTAACTAGAAAAGAGAATGTGCATAACAAGTGGCGCATGACTTCAAGGAGTGTAGTTTGACAGAAGACAAAAATATGAACCAATGATCATCATGACAAAAGCATGGTAGCCTGGAAAATAGAAAGATATCAAAAAATTAAGATACAGATTTCTGAACCATTGAATGTTATCCTTAATAGGTCGCTTACTACTTATCTAAGATCTCAAAGAAAATATATGGACAAAAGATATGGTCAACAAACAAGTAAAAAGCCAAACTGCTTCCACTTGAAGCTTTGATATAAAATACCTTTTTAGATTTTGGCATGACTGGCCCACACAGAAACTTCTCTTTCTGAGGATAGTGACTAGCTTAAGGCTGACAATCAAAGTGGACAAGATATTTCCTTTGGCCTATTTGTTTTAAAATATACACCTGGACTTTAGCCCTTTCTAGCCCTCCATGCTGGTGAATAAAAGACCAGTCCAAGAAGACCAGTAATCCATAAAGAAAATGCAAATGGAAAAGTAGGATGAGGAAGTGTTTTGCCCCATGCCTTGCAAAGATCTGGCCTTTGGCTTTTGCCCTAGATACTAGCACTCTGAGGAAACAGGATCAATATCAGTTTGCTTACATCTTAGCATGGAAAGGAGGGTCTCAGTAGGCAGGTGATATTAATGCTGGATCTTCCCAGGTCTTCTAGGAAAAAATGCAAGTCTATTAAGAGACCAAATCCACATGAAAAGATCATAGTACTTGTATAATTTGGAGAAGCACTCCTATTTTGGGGGTAGAACAACACAAACTGAGAAAAAGGGAGAACTGTGTACTTCCCTATGGGCTAATAGATCATAACAGAGAAATATACAAAATGCTATGATGGTTTGGTTGGGAATTCAGGGTTAAAGTGATCTTCCTGGAGAAGTCAGTAAAGGCTTCAACTAAGAGGAAAAGCTCCAAAATAGTAATCCCAAATATTCCTCATGACCAGATGTGTGTATCTGAGCAAATAGACCTGCTAATTAGAAACATCCCTGTGTATCTATTTAGTGTTGTACTTTTATCTGCGTGTACAATAATTGTATTACTTTCAGATACATCCTTTTGGGAACTAACATTGCCCACAACAACTTTATCTGGATTATATTGATTTGTTGTGCTGCCTTTTCCTTGGATGAACTTTGAGTGATTTGCATTTTTATTATAATATCCCCTGAGAATAGTAGTGAGTGTTGATTTGTGGAGACCCAAAATTATTCAAAACTGTTTTGGCATGATTGTGAGTGAGACTGTAAAAACATTAGATGCACTTGCCTCGCCCTCTGATCCTGCCACTGGACATGTCTACATGTTAAAATGAAATGAGGATACATTGAAGGCACTAGATTTAGAATCAGGAAATCTCAGTCACAACTTCTACACCTATAGATTTAGAAATAGAAAAATTACACCATTCTTCTATTAAGCTCTGTTTTAGGATTTGATTTTCTCTCACAGAATTATGATCATCAAACAAAAGAAATGCAAATGAAATTTTATGTTTGTATAAGCTAGTTTATTATTAATAGAATAGCATCCATTACATTATCACTTTCTTCCTGAGTTCAGTTTTTGGAATTATATGTATAAAGTTAATGGAAATTTTACAAGTTAGATGAAAGATGGCACTAAGGCAGAGAATTAGGATATAGATGGGTAAGATAATAAATATATTCAGCCTAAGACTTCTTCACTAAAATATTAAGTGTAGTCCTGTACTTTACCTCTAAAAAATGAAAGTAAGAAGGAAAACAAAGTAGTAAAATTTATAATGACAACATATTCACAGTCTTTAATAAAACAAAAACATTTCCATACAGTGAACTTTGGCTTTGAAACTGATTGTATTTTATTCACAGATTTCTCAAAAATTAATAGACATTAAAGGAGAGAATTGTGTTTTAATACACTAGGAATATCTACTGCAAATGGAAAAAAGATCTATAGGCATGCAGTAGTTATACAATAATACACATATGTCAAAACTATTAAATGAATCTGTTTCTGTTCCTACATATAATAAAAACTGATAGTGGTTCTTTTCAGCCTGATTTTTGCTTTAAAGAGGATATTCTTTATCAGTTAAATAAAAATTAAAATTAAATAAAAAATTTTAATAGAATTATCCACTTGTTATAATCTATGTTTTAAATCTTGTTAATATACACAAAACATACCCAGGTTTTAATTATGGCATATAAGTTTGAGAGCTATTTGCTGCACAATTATGAGTAATTCTATTTTTTTCACCAAACATAAGTCATTAACAATTATCCCCCCTTTCTCTCTTTCAGTTAAATTCAATATAAAACACTAAAATATCTTAGATGTATAAATATACCCCAATATCAACTCCTTATTACAGGTAACATCAAAGTGAAGTATTAGTAGTTAACATGACAAATATCTAAATAAACCATGCATGATATACAACATATCTAAGTTGCTCATTTTTAGCATTCTCAGGTCCCCTCTCTCTCTCTCTCTCTACTTTTCGGTCTCTCTGTGTGCGTGTATAAATAACATATGTATTATACTTAATACATATATGTTATATTTACATAGTAAACATATTGGAAATGTAAATATGATATAAATAGAAAACAAAGTATATTTTATATATTTAAATCTCAAAAATTTAAATACAAATAAAATAAGAACATACATTTTAAAATTATAACTTGGATTTTCAATTAATAGGAACAGAATGACTAACAGTATTCAGTTCATATTTCATCTGTTTACTCAATTTACTGCCAATATAAGTATTGAATAAAAAATTATTTCAGGATAGGATTAAACAATGATTAGAAAGAGATGATTGATGTGTGCATATTTAGAAACATTATGTCCTCCTAGTGAACTGATCAGTGTAATGTTCCTCGGTCTCTGGTAATTTTCTTTGCTCTGATATCTATTTTATCTGATATTATTATAGTCACTCATGCTTTATTAATGTTTGCATGCATCTTTTTTCAATTGTTTTCACTTTTAATATACTTACGCCACTGAATTTGAAGTGAATTTCTTATAAACAGCATATATTTGGGTCATTTGTCACAAATAACAAATTTATTCATTTTTTAAGGTTGAATAGTATTGTATATATGCCTCCCATTATATTTCTATTGAATGAGGTAGTTCTAGGTA
Organism: Homo sapiens; assembly: GCF_000001405.40. Lineage (NCBI taxonomy): Eukaryota > Metazoa > Chordata > Mammalia > Primates > Hominidae > Homo > Homo sapiens. The sequence goes on from NC_000007.14 coordinate 118,598,913, forward strand.
GTGCTACCTTGGCTTTGTCAATAGGAATGCTAGCAGCATGAAACTGACTTAACCTGGGTATGACTTTTGATGGCAGTCTATAAAACTTGTATCATTAAACACTGTTGATCGTGGTTAAAGCAAATCATCTTTTTTGTTCTCTAAATCTCTATTGCAGCTCAAGTTATTATTGGCTCTCTCTTAGTAGAATAGTAAGTGATATGGTTTGGCCATTTGTCCCCACCCAAATCTCATCTTGAATTGTAATCCCCACTTGTCAGGGAGAGACCTGGTGGGAGGTGATTGGATCGGGGGGCAGTTTTCCCCATGCTGTCCTCGTGATAGCAAGTGAGTTTTCATGAGATTTGATGGTTTATAAGCAACAGTTTCCCCTGCACTTGTCTCTCTCTCCTGCCACCTTGTGAAGAGGTACCTGCCTCCCCTTCCCCTTCTGCCATGATTGTAAGTTTCCTGAGGCCTCCCCAGCACATGCAAAATTGTGAACCAATTAAACCTCTTTTATTTATAATTACCCATTCTTGGTTAGTATCTTTACAGCAGTGTGAAAACTGGCTAATATAGTAAAAAGAACAATTACAGAAGGGAAATAGTGTGTAAAACTTTGGTAATGGCAAGCAAACCTGAGAATAATTTATCTTTTTATGTAGTTTGTCCTGATCTAGGTTTTAAAGATAGGATACATTCAAAGATGGGACAAGACCGTGACATCATGCTGAGTTTAGTCCTGAAAGTGGTTAGTATTTATTCAATATTTTTGTATTAGAGGTTACTGTATGCCAGGCATTGTAAAGGTGCTAAATATTCCCAAAGAAATAAGAAAAAGGAATGGTATCAAACTTCACAAACTTTAAAGACAAATAGAGGGAACATATAAACATATATGTGCAAATATAGGGTGAATGGATTTGTAATAAGCAAATGTACAAATCATACTGGGTAATAAAATCCAGAAACGGACATCTCTGCTTGAGGTTGGGACACATGGTTGCAAGGGATCACACAATCTATTACCTTTAGAGATTTTTCAATAGGCCAATGGAAACAAGAAAATGAATTTTTCTAGGCAATGCCAAATCACTGGCATCATGTTCATTATACTTATAGTGATGTTTTTTAGAGGAGCTGGCATTCACAGCAATACTTTCCAAAGGGAAAAAAAGTTTACATTCTGTCTAGGTCACTGGTTTCCAATTGTGATGAAAATATTTAATTTCAAGTGTTAAAAGAGATAATTCAAACCATTTTTAAACATTATTTTCTCTTCCAAAGTTATTGTACATTTTAGATGCCAAGGAACTATGACTCAGAAGATGATACGTTTCAGAAAAATCACAGTTATTAATGATACAAAGAAGATCAAATCTTAGGGAGGTTGACATGTTTAGATCCCAAATGGAAATAGCATTTAGCATTATGGTAGAACTAAGGTTCAGGAGGAGTTATAAGTCAAGAGAATGCTATCACTGAGAAAAATAAGGTGACATACAACATGTGAACATGACTCAATGAACTGTGAAAAATCAATAAACAAAAATTGCCTGTCTTACAGAAAAATGTAAGAGGTGCAAATGAAATAACAACTTCTGGCTGGGCATGGTGGCTCATGACTGTAATCCCAGCACTTTGGGAGGCTGAGTCGGGTGGATCGCCTGAGGTCAGTTCTAGACGAGCCTGGCCAACATGGTGAAACCCTGTCTCTACTAAAAATACAAAAATTAGCTGGGCATGGTGGCAGGTGCCTGTAATCCCAGTTGCTCGGGAGGCTGAGGCAGAAGAATCACTTGAACCCGGGAGGCCAGAGGTTGCAATGAGCAGAGATGGTGCCATTGCACTCTAGCTTGGGCGACAAGAGCGAGACTACGTCTCCAAAAAAAAAAAAATCTATTGTAGCCATATTTGTCCAGGTGAATAATACTCACAGATTTTGCTGACTTTTCCTCAAAGGCTATTCTTGTGGAGCTGGACCCACATGCATGTATATACACACACACACTAACACCCAGCAACACACATTTTCCTTTGTTTGCAAAATTGTTCTTTCTTCCTCCAAGTCAAAATTATCTTCCACCATATTATTGTATTAAATTTATGACCACAAACCTGTGGTGGATTTTTCTCATCTAAGCATTAATTAAACATTTTTTTATTTTTAAAGATTATGTCACATGCATTAATAAGCTGTCCTGTACCTATCCCTATGCTTTGCTCTGTAGGGACTGTAAAAACTATGTACTTTCCTTCTCTCCCTTTTTTTCATTTCTTCCCCTCTTTTTCTCTGTTTTGCTTTCCTCAATTTTATGAGTATGGAATAATATAATCTATGGGGAGATCTTTTTCTCCAAGATTATTTTTAAAGATACCATTATGTTTGGCTAGGTATTCACAGTTGATTTGACAATTTAACTCATTCTTAGACAAATAATTTGTACTTGGCCATTGTCATGGGATGCATGTTTGTGCCTTCCCTTCCAAATTCATATATTGAAACCCAAACCCCAATATGATGGTAATTGGAGATGGGGCCTTTGGGAGGTGATTAGGCCATGAGGGTGGAACTTCCATAAATGGGATTAGTGCCTTATAAAAGATATATGAGAGAATTTTCTTGTTCTTTCACAACATGAGAAGATACAAGAAGTCAGCAATCTGTATCCCTCCTGTACAACCCCCCACCCCTATCCTGGCACCCCATTCTTGGACTTCCAGCCTCTCAAACTGTGAGAAATAAATTTCTGCTTTACTGTAAGCAGCTGATTCTATGGTGCTTTGTAGTAACAGCATGAATTCATAGACAGACATTAAACTAATATTTGAAAATGGCAAATGCAAGTTTAAAATTATGCATATTGACAATTTACTAATGGAAAAATTTATATAAAATACATACTTTTAGGAAGTCTGTGTTATAGAACATTTTTATGCACAAGAGATGGTTTAAGAAATAGTCAAGTAGTTATTACAATATTAAAGCTATGACTAAATTTTAGAGTTAGCTATTTTTAAGAATATGCTAAATAGTTAATGGAAAAATTAAGAACCCAGTGAGAAAGTTACTAATGATCTCCAAAGGCATTTACTAGAAAATTTGTTGCCAATTTACTTTATTCAGAGAGGTTTCCTTTGAGGGATTGTTTTTGTTTTTTACTGCTACATAATAAATTATTACAAATTTAGAGAATGAAAACAACACCCATTTATGATCTCACAGTTTCTCTTGGTTAAAAGTCCAGGCATGAATAAACTGTGTCTTCTGCTCAGGATGTCACTAGGCTGAAATGACAATGTCTGCCAAGGTTGTGATTTCATCCACAGATTAACATCATTTTCCAAGCCTACTTGTCAGCAGCATTCAGTTCCTTATGATTGCAGATTGAGGCCCTCAGCTTCTAGAGGCTGTCAATCATTTTACATCACATGGCCCTCTCCACAACATGGTGGCTTGCTTCCTAAGGGCCAACAGGAAATCTCCATCTTTGAATCTCTTCAGTAAGCTAAGACAGTCTTATATAAAGTAATGAATTCAAAGGAGTAACTGTCCCATCAACTTTACCATATTGCATTGTCTAGAAGCAAGTCACAATTCTCTACACTCAAGGTCAGGAGGCACTAGAGGAAAGGCATGGGCACTAGAGGAAAAAACATTGGGGCCACCTTAGAATTCTACCTGCCATGAGTACTTTGCTATGGTATTCACAGTCTGTTTATCCTCATCTCCAGTTTCCACTAGGACACCTCTAATTGCAAGGGAAAATATAAGTATCTAAAAGTGACTTTAAAGAAAGGGCTTATTTTTTCTTTTTTGTTCCAAAGTTTTTTCTGTTTTGAGGTGAAATTTACTTAACATAAAATTAACTATTTTAAGGGGTACAATTCAGTGGCATTTAGTGCATTCACAATGGTGTGCAACCACCACCTCTCTCTAGTTTCAAAACTATTTCAATACCTCAGAAAAGCATAGTGTATCCATTAAGTAATCACTCTACATTCTCCCCACTCCCATCCTCTGGGAATCATTAGTCTGTTTTCTGTTTATGAATTTTCTTATCCTGAATATTTCATATAAAAGGAATTACACAATATGTGTTTGTTTGTGTCTGGATTTTTTCACCTAACTTAACGTTTTTGAGGTTCATCCATGTAGTGGCACATAGCTGTACATTGTTCCTTTTAATGGCTTATTATCATATCACACTGGAAGCTGGCTATTGCAAGATTGGTTATTACAGAAATCTAGTGTTGTCATCAAGGGCCCAGGTTCTTTCCAGTTTTCTGACATTTTGATATGGTGACTTTCAACTCCAGGCTTGACTGTCCTTGTAAAAAGATAGTTGCTACAGCTCTTGATATTATGTTCCCATACAAATGCTTCTGAAGGCAAAGCAAAAGGAGAATTTCTCCTCCTACTTCTTTGTAACTGGGGAAGCAAACGATTTCCCAGAAGCCTCAGAGAGCAAAGTTTTTCTTCCTCCACCTCCTGAGAAAGTCCTTCCTCCTAAATCACTCAGTGACAAAGAGAAATTAGAATTATCCTATTGTTTGCAAATAATATAATTCATTTCCTTGTGGTGGGGAGAGATCATCTTCCAAATATACTGCTGCCCCACATGATAGAAACTAACCATCTGTTAAAATATAAGAAAGGAATGGTTGTTGCATAGGCAAATAGCTGTGCCTGCCTAGCATTCTTTATTAAAAAAATACTTTAAAAACATTTTAGTAGTAATAAAAACAGCACATACTTTATATACATAAAAAAAACAATTACTCTTCTGGCATATTTTGAGAGGCAATCTAAACTAGCAGGAACGTGCAGTGAGAGCTGTCTGGGTTATAATTCAGGTCCTTCGCTCCAAACTGAGACAGATTTCTCATTGATATATTGGGAGAGGAAGAGACTTGCATAAGGAATAGGAGACTGTTTTAACCTCAAGCTAAGGAGAATCTGCTCCAGTGGTCAGACACTTCATTCCCAGAGTACAGAAGAAGAGGGAAAAAGTGCTATGTTAAGAATATGTGTCTTTTTACATTACAAATCCTTACTTTTCTAGTGCAAACCTGGGCATTTCTTCTAAGTTCATTAAAAATATGTTCTTTAAGGAACTGTTGTTGAACTAGAGCTTCACAAGCAAGTGTTCTTTCAGCACTGAAAAGTTGAGAATGTTGCCCTGGGCCTTCCAGGTGTGACAAATCTCAGAGACTTTTCTGGAAGGAATAAGAATCTTTAGGTTTAGTTCTAGGCATTTATAATGCTGTGAACAATAATGTCTTCCAAGAGAAATCATTGTCAGCATGAAGAGTGGATTCAAGCTATCTCAGGCACCAATGGCCTCCACGGGGCAGTGGGAGGAGAAAAAAGAGCCACTAATATTGCTGCCAAAGCACTTCATGGGAGCCACTGTTGATGGAGGTGGTAGTGAGAGCCCTGTTTGCGAGGTGAAGATGGGCCTCATTTCCTCCTTAGTCTATCCAGGGCCAGTCACCATGAGGGAGAATACGTCATGTCTAAATGCTTGATCAAGAATAGATGTGGGGTGAAAAGAGTCTGGGGATTTGGTTAATTATACACTTTAATAAAAATAGAAATTTAAAACAGTGTGGTATAAATCCCAGTGCGACTGGAAACTCAGAAATTCCAACTGGGGACTTAAAACATCCACATGAACCATAAAAACTTTTAATGTATTATTGGATAGGACAATGTATCTTCAGAACACTGGATGAAACACGTATAAATAACCAGTTTATATGTATCATACGAACAAGTTTTCATAAGTCGTGGTAATATTAAAATGTCATTGGTAATTTGTCTACATTTATATCTCACCTGAAATTCTTATTCATATTTATATCATTTGTGTTAAAACTATTTTTAGAGAAAATGTCTAGCCAAGCACTTTGTCCATTTTTAAATTGGTTTATTTGTTTTTAAGCGATTGAGTTATAGGAGTTTGTTATATATTTTTATACCAACTATCAGATAAATGGTTTACAAATATTTTCCCTTCCTCTAGGTTGCCTTTTCACTCATTTGATTGTTTCTATTGCTGTGCCAAGCTTTGTACTTTATCTAATATGTCTTGTCTATATTTGCTTTTGCTGCACGTGCTCTTGATGTCTTATCCAAGAAATCATTGCCAAGATCGATGTTATGAAACTTTTCTTCTATGTTTTCTTCTAAAAGTTTTATGATTTCAGGTCTTACATTCAAACCTTTAATCTATTTTGAGTTAATTTTTATGTGCAGGATAAGATAGAGGTCCAATTTTATTCTTCCGCATATAGCCATTGTATATGAGAATAGGTGCTCAACATCATTGATCATCAGGGAAATGTAACTTCTAACTAGAATGAGATACCACTGCGTACTTGTTAATATGGCTATTATTGAAAAAACAAAAGATAATAAATTTTGGCAAGGATGTGGAGAAATTGGAACAATTGCACACCATTGGTAGAATATAAAATAGTATGGAACCAGTATGAAGGTTTCACAAAGTTAAAAATAGAACTACCATATGATGTAGCAATCTGACTACTGGGTATATATCCAAAGAAAATGAAAACAGGAACATAAAGAAATATCTGCGCTCCTACGTTCATTGCAGTGCTATTTATAATAGCCAAATATATAATAAAAACAACCCAAATATCCAACAACAGATGAATGGATAAATAAAATGTAATATATACATACAACGAAATTTTATTCAATCTTAAAGAGCAAGGAAATCTTATCATTTATGATACCATGGATGAACCTAGAAGACATTATGCTGAGTGAAATATGCCAGCCTCAGAAAGAAAAATACTGTGATTCTGCTTATATAAGTTATCTAAAATAGTCAAATGCTTAGAAGCAGAGATTAGAATGGTAGTTGCCAGTGGCTGGGGGGAAGGAAAATGGGGCATTGTTTCATAGACATAAGTTTCAGTTAAGCAAGACAAATTCTAGAGATCTACTGTACAATATATTACCTATAGTTAACATCACTACTTATTGTTTACTTGAAAATTTATTAAAAGAGTAGATCTCATGTTAAGCATTCTTAACACACACACACACACACACACACACGACAGAAAGAAAGTTTTAGATGTGATGCATATGTTTATTAGTTTGATTGTGGTGATACTATCATGATTGTATGCATGTATCCAAACTCATCAAGTTAGATACATTAAACATTTACAGTTTTTTGAGGTATAATATTAAGTTATATCTCAATAAAGCTGTTGAAAATAATTTTTAACTGTAATGGTAGTATCCTTTCCAAAAGAAAGCACAGAAATATAAAAATTAAATAAATTAACTTCAAAAAGCTACTTTGGAAACATAGTATAAAATGATTCAAGGAAATACACATTTTCCTCTTTGTACATGACTCTAGAATAAGCTGTAGGTTTACTAATGTCTGTATATTTTTGTTTAAATAAATAAATATTTTTTGTTTACTTCGACTTGTAGAAATTTAAGATTATAGTATAATAGTAAATTCTGGAAATGTTTCAGCTCTGTTTCAAGCTAGGTGTTTTTAATATTGTCCTGAAAATTGTTCTTTGCCATCATGTGCATTTTTCCTTCATGTTTACACTAAGTAGACATAGCTTCTGACTTCCCAAACTTCTTATCTCTTGCTCTTCTAAATAATTCTGGATAATGAGATATAGTATTGCTAGGAAGCAATGTATTCTCATGCTGTGGAATTGTCATGAAAATACCCTGTCTGAAATACTTTTCTGCCTTTCCAATGCTCAGAATAATGCCTAAGGAAATTTACTTTTATGAAGTGAACTTTAGATGCAATTCTCCTACTCTTGAATAATATGCAGCATGTATGCATAATTCAGTTTTGGTAGTTTGTATAAAGATGCCTATGAGGAAGAAAAAAAAAAACAAAATTTGGATGACTCACATCGTCACTCTTGGTAATCAGGAAAAATCAGATGCACTGAGCTTGGCCTGAAAGAGATGATAATTTTTGGGTGTGCAAAGATATTCTTTTATGTTGCATAGTCATTATTGTCATCATCATCATACTGCCCACCATTGGAATTTGAGCACTTTGTGGGAAGGGGCACTTGGATAAAAAATATCAAGTCTGATGACTCCAACTCCCATATTGATTCTAATCTTATTGCCTACAATAATTAGATAATTTTATCAAATAGCCAACAGAATTATCTTTCAAATTACTCATAAAATGTTTTAAGATTTCCTTTTGAATATAAATTTGTTTCTTTGTATTCTCTTTCTTATTTCCTGCTTTCTCTTTCATGTTTCAAATATTTTAAATAACCCATTAACTTTCTTCTATTCACATCTTAGCTGCACTTCTTTGTACTATTATTAGTGCTCTAAGAATTATAGAATGCATCCACAACTTACGACATTCTATTTATAGTCACCTTGTTTTGTTTTCTTTTGTTTTGAGACAGGGTTTCACTCTGTCACCTAGGCTGGAGTACCATGTTATGATCACAGCTCACTGCAGCCTCAACCTCCCAGGCTCAAGTCATCCTCCCACCCCCTGAGTAGCCGAGACCACAGTGTGTGCCACCATGCCCAGATAATATTTATTTTTATTTTTTTTGTAGAAATAGGGTCTCATTATGTTGCCTAGGCTGGTCTCAAACACCTGGGCTCAAACTGTCCTCTTAATTTTTTAAAAACTAAAAAATAAATACAACTTCTGAAGCTCTTCAATCTATTTTGAGTTTTCATATAATATTTTCTTCAACTTTGACTTGTGTGTGTTGTTTAGCTCTGCTGGTGGCTAATTGTATTAGTCTGTTCTCATGCTGCTAATAAAGACAATAAAGACATACCTGAGGCTGGGTAATTTATAAAAGAAAGAGATTTAATTGACTCACAGTTCCACATGGCTGGGGCGGCCTCACAATCATGGAAAAAGATGAAGGAAGAGCAAAGGGATATCTTACATGGTGGCAGGCAAGAGAGCATGTGCAGGTGAACTCTCCTTTATAAAACCATCAGATCTTGTGGGACTTACTCACTATCACAAGAACAACATGGGAAAGACCCACCCCCATGATTCAATTACTGACCACCAGGTCCCTCCCATGACACATCGGAATTATGGGAGCTAAAATTCAAGATGAGATTTGGGTGGGGACACAGCCAAACCATATCACTAATTATCTCAGCTTTTATCAGATAATTTATTTAAATAAACTTATTTTTGAAGAACTTATTTATTGGATGTAAAATCTGCATTGACATTTCAAAAACCATTTTAAATAGAGCATTATATTGTCCTCGGACCCTCATTGTTTCTATTGTAGACAGATCATAATTCTTTCATTGTTCCTCAATGTATAGTTTTATTTCTTAGGTTGCTTTAAAATTTTTCCTTTTTTTGTGTTTAATACTTTAACTATTATATGGTTAGGTGTGGTTTTTCTTTTATATATTATACTAAGGTTTTATTAAGATTTATTTTTATCTCTAGACTGATGTTCTTCATCAAATTAGAAGAAAATTTTATCATTTTTTAAAATATACTTTTATATTCTATTCTCAATCTAGTCTCCTTCTAGTCTCTAATTATCTATATGTTAGTTTGTATGATATTATTCCACAGGGCACTAAAGTTCAATTTATTTTCTTTAATCTTTTTATTTATTTATTTTGTTTGTTTTTCAATTTGAATTCTTTCCATTGATATTTTCTGAAGAAGTACATGGAATCTTTCTTCTGTAGTACCCATTCTGTTGCCTGGGCATCCAGTATTTTTTCTAAATTTTATATGTTATACTTTGAATTTGCATAATTTTGAGTCAATCATTTTTTCACATTTTCATTGCTTCACCAAGACTCCTATATGCTTTAGTTCAGGTCCTTGAGAAGCAGAGACCAAGATGAGATTAGATATGCAAAGGTTGACTAGGGAATGCCACTAAAGAAACTGGGAAGCCAACCAAAGAGGCATCAAACCACAGTGGAGATCTGACTCCTGCAAAAGATAGAAAGAAGGAACCTAGGTAGATGTTGATGGCATGCTCTTATAAACACATTTTGATATATTCTTAAGACAAAATCTCCCATAAAACAGGTACAGTGTCTCCTAGAAATATACCTGCAGTAATATCTCTGACATGCTCAGATCCTGGGTCCAGGTGGGTTCATTCTTGGGTCTCCAGGTGATTTGCTCAGGGGCTTTGAGTGGGCAGGTCTTCCAGTTACTGGGCAGCGGGTGGAGTGAGGAATGGCAGTAGCAGTGGTGGGACAACCATCTGACTCCCAAGTGGTCTGTGCTGGTGTTGGTGACAGCTGTGATGGGCTGGATGGGCCAGTCCCCAGGCACACAGGTGGCATGTGCAGGTGGGTTCCAGCTGTGATGGGAGTAGCAGGTTGGATAGGCCTGCCCTTAGGCCCCTTGCGAGGGCTGCTTGGGTGCCAATGGTAGTGTATGTGGCTGGGTGATCTCCTGGCCCCCAGACAGCATACTAAGGTACCAGTGGGCATGGAGCTGAACCAGGCAGACCTGACCTCAGGCTCCTGGGTGGTGCGTGCAGGTGCTGGCTGTTGTAGGTGGAGACTGTTCTTCTGCTGGAGGCAGTGAGGTCACTGCCTGTGCGTCAGCCCTGACAGCAGCAGCCAACTGTGGTGGTGGCTGCAGGTAGGGGCTGTCAGTGTGGCTCCAGGAAGGTGAAGATACAGAGGCTGTTAGGCCCCAGCACAAAATGCAGTCTGGTGTGGTCTGGGCTCTCAAAATGGCACCTTGCTGTAGCTGCTTAAGACTTGGGGTGTGTGGGACTCAGCGTGATCTCCCTCTCTGGAGCAATGCCATCATACAGTCTCCAGGAAGCTTCCTATGTTAGTCTCAGGGCCCACCAGGGTTGAGGGGCTCTCCTGTCATTTCCAAAGTCCATGGTGGGAATGTGGACCACTGGGGGACTCTCACTTACCCTTTTCCTGCATTGGAGACCCTCTCCAGGCTCCCAGCCCATCCTGGTGGAGCAGGACAGAAACTTCTCTCCTCCATCCTTCATTTAGTTGTTTTCTGTCACTTCTCTATTGAATTCCAGTGTTCTCTCATAAATGATCTATTTGAAGTGTAATTACCTATTTGCTACTTTGGTTCTTCTGTAACAGATGCCTGTAGTCAGTCATCTTGATGCCCTTTTCTTGAGTCACTGCACTCTTGGTAGTTTAAAACTTCTTTAAAAAATTATTTAAACAATTTATTTATTTAAAAAATAGTGGATGATTGCTATACTATAAACTGGAGATATTTGCCTGTAATGGGCAGCAGAGAAAATGAGGTAAGATTGTAGTGGGAGGTGGAGTCAGGGGAAAAATCCTTTATAGAATGGGATTTCCTAATGCATGTTAACATGACTATGGAAACACCCAGTAGAAAGGAAGACAACAATGACTGGGAAAGAGAGAAAGCAATGGCGCAAATCTCAAAGGACACAAAGAGCAAAGTCCATCAGAGAACAAGAGAGAAGAGATGATATTAACACAATAAGAACTCAGTAAATGTAGCCAAATGGATAAGTAAATGAACCAATAAATGCCCTGTAGGAATCCCACCAGATGTCCTGTATTTAATCACCTTTTCCACTCTCCAAAACAATTAAATCTTGGACCACTTTTTCTCATGTTTATAAATTCATTATGTTCTCTTTCTTTTAAAGCAGAGAATATTGCCTTGCTGTTGTTGCTTAGGACTCTGGTGTGTGTGGGACCCAGCGTGGGCTCCCTTTCTGGAGCAATGCCATTGCAAGGTCTTTAGGCAGCTCTTTATGTTATTCTCAGGGCCTGTGAAGGCTGAGAGACTCTCCAGTGGCTAAACTTGTCAGAGTCCACAGTGGAATACGAACCACTGTAGGTCTGTCACTTACCCTTTCTTTGCAGTGAGAAGCCATCTCCAGGCTTCTTACTTTCCCCTCCTCTCTTACTCTAGGTATTTCCTGACACTTACCTGTTCAATTCCAGTGTTCTCTCTTAGATGATCTATTTGAGGTGCCATTACCTATTTGCTATTTGGCTTCCTTTTTGTGTGTACCAAAATGGGTACCAGCTGCCTCTCGTCAGCCATCTTGAAGCCCCTCCTTGTCTTTTTATTTTTGAGTTATCACAGTTCTGTATGTATTTTAGATAAAAGTCCCTCATCAGGTATGTAATTTACAAATATTTTCTCCTTTCCTGAGGGTTATGTTTTCACTTTCTTCATGGTGTTCCGTCAAGCACCAGAAGGTTTTAAATTTTGATAAAGTAAAAATCTGTTTTCCTTTTGTTGCTCCTGCTTGTATTGTCATAGCTAAGCATCTTTTGCCAAATTTCAGGTTATGGAGATTTACCCTTATGTTTTATTTTAGGGATTTTATAGTTTTAGTTATTACATGTAGGCCTTTGGTGCATTTGAGTTAATTTTTATATATAGTGTGAGATGAGTCCCACTTTATTCTTTTGAATGTGTCTATTCAGTTTTTCCAGTATATTTGGTTTATCCTTCCCTGTGCTGTGGTCTGGAAAGTTCCACCAGGAAAAAGCTAGTGTGACTGTGGTGCTACCTTTATGTTTACCTTTACTTTTACTGTCTCTTTTGCTGTCCTTAGTCCAGTGCATGAGTAGAGATGCCCATTATATTTTGTCCAACTTTAAAATTATTCATTGTAAAGAAGAAGTCCAAAACAAGATACTTGGTCATGGTCTCCCATACAATTTTTAAATGTCTATGTCTATAATATTCTAAAGAGAATGAATGTTTTTTTCAGATTTTGGTTAGGCAGATGAGGCAGTTTACATAAATAATATTAAGGCAGTTTTCTGAAAAACAAACAACAACAACCACCACCACAAAAACTGACACTGGAATTTGTGAGAATGGAAATAGATAGGGTTAGATGTCAAACAAAATATAGTCAAATGGGCATGTCTCCACTATCAGGAGAAGGGGACTCACAAAATCGAAGTGATGTGATCATCTGAGGGATCATTGACTAGAGGATCCCTGATGAGAATGGTCACCAAAGTTAAATCTTGGCATGTACCCTAAAACTTAAAGTATAATAATAATAAAATTAAAAAAGGAAAAAAAATACAGGAATGTATAAGAAGCAGCTGCTATAGGGGCCACTTAGGTGAACAAGAAAATGCATTTAAAAAATAAGAAATGATGCAGATTGATGAAAACTGGGAAAACATATTCTTAGACAAACTTAAAAAAGAAATGAGTAAGTTGGGCGTGGTGGCTCACACCTGTAATCCCAGCACTTTGGGAGGCCGAGGCGGGCAGATCACAAGGTCAGGAGATCAAGACCATCCTGGCTAATGCGATGAAACCCCGTGTCTACTAAAAAAAAATACAAAAAATTATCCAGACCTGGTGGGGGGCACCTGTAGTCCTAGCTACTCGGTAGGCTGAGGCAGGAGAATGGCATGAACCCAGGAGGTGGAGGTTGCAGTGAGCCGAGATTGTGCCACTGCTCTCCAGCCTGGGTGACAGAGCGAGACTCCATCTCAAAAAAAAAAAAAAAAAAAAAGAGTAGATAAAGAGTAGATAATTAGCTTCAAAATTGTGTTTTACTTTAGGTTCTGCCTCTATGTCTCAGGAACAACCTAGTCTAAGAACTGTAATGGTGCTGATTGCAAGAAGATTTTAATACTATCAGGGTAAATTTTGCAGAAGCAAAGAAAGAAAAACACTAACTGAATGAAACTATGAGCTAAAAAGGGGTCATTTTGTATGTGCATCTTAAAACAGCAGAGATAGATATTTGCCCTGAGGATGAGTTAGGCAGACTTTCAGGGATGCCAAGCCAATGTTGCTCCCTTCCTCCTCCCTTAGGATAGATCTACATAATTGGGCTACTTGAATAAATTAGATCCTGGAATGATCATTGATATGTATTTTAAACTCTGCACCTTAGTTTTCACGTGTGATTACTGTGTGCAGCTGTAGCACCTACGTATAGGGTGTTCGTTAGAATTACATGAAATGTATATAAAGTTCTTGACATACAGTAAGAACTCAATAAATATTAAGTATATCTAACAGAATATACATGTGTGCCATGTGACAAAACAGAAAGATTTTATTATGAAAATGTGATAAGTCGTCAGGTTGAAAATTCAGAATTTTGACTTCATTCACTCCCATGCAACTCTTCCATTGTTTTAGAATTGGAAGTATTATTTTAGTAAAAAATATGATTGTGAGGTCCCATCCCTTGAAGAACTTCATTCCAAAAGATTTTTTTTTTTGGCCAGTTGAGGTTCTCTATTTCAAAATATATGTATTTCAAGTAATCTTTTACCTTTTGTAAAATATTACATAGAATAAAATAGTTTTTTTAATTAAGCATAAAATACTAGAGGATAAATACTTACAAGCTGGAAGAAAAATGGGGTAATTACCTTCAGTGATGAATAGTTTAATACAAGAAGATCTGTAGTACATAAATCTTTCTAAAAAAGTTTTAAATTTGTTTGGGAACTCAGAACTCTCTTGAAATTTCTGTGAATTTGCTATTGCAATAACAATAAGGACAATTTTCCATCAGCGTAAACAAATTTTAATGGTCTAGCAGTTACAATGTAATTATATGTGCAATGACATGATGAATGTGTTTATATTTTATACATTATAAAAATATTATTGAATTATTAAAGTATGATTTTGGATTAGAAATCATGCTTCTTGAAGAAAAAAACACATTTAAAATTAAAAGGTTATTACCTAAAGTAATTAAGAGGTGATAAAATGCTAAAATAAGTAAATAAACTAATTTTTGTCACTGACCAAGGCAGCTAAGGAAAAATCTAAAAGAAACACATAGTAGCAAATGTAAAAGAAAAAAAATAGTATTTAGATTAATACTGAAACACTTTATTGAAGGCAAGCAATTATATTATTCCAGGGCACTGAACGTTTACTTACAAAGCTTATATCATAAGAGCATGCTTGCTTTTAAGATTTGTTTCAGCTGCAAATCTGAGGCCACACAAATAACTGTTAGTTACAAGTGGCAGGGTAAGCTGGCCATTTCCTCTTTGAGGAGAGACATGTTGATAGAAAATTCTACTGAGTTTTTGTTTTTTTCTGATTGTTTCTTATACTTGAATACTGTTAATACCATAAGAAAAGGAATAATGAAAATGTAGGGTGCATTGTGTTCATATTCATAGCTATACAGATGTAACAAAATGAACTAGTAATGACTGTTTTAAATATATATGTATACATATGCATGTGTATTTATATATATGTATGTATTTATATTTGTATTTATATATACATTTTTAACACACTTATGCTATGTATGCATATTAATACTTGCTTAAATAATTGCAGAATCATAGAAATTCCTGTTTACCAAGATATTCCATATTATCTTCATTTAATTGGAAAGAAGACTTGAGAAAAATATTGAAAAATATGTGAAATTCTGAGGCACAAAATACTTTTTGACATCTGATGTTATAAACTTACCCTTGTAGTAAAGCTGCAATACATCACAAATAAAACATTCAATATTCTTTCCAGTAAATAAACATCAGTGGTATTTTGGAAATATACTGACTATTGTACAATAAATGGATTTTCTATGTACAAATGGATTTTCTATTTTCTATTTTTTCCTCAATCGAAATATATTTTTCCTTCTCTTTATGGCTGCCACATTCTTGGAATGCAATTAGGACTCACACACAATTTACAAATATTTATTGAGCACCTAGTATTTGTTTATTTCTTCATCCACAAGGTTAGATTGCTACCGAGTTCCAAAGAACTGTATTAAGGAACATGATGAAGAGGGCAGGGAAGTGGCCTGCTCTTATTTGGTTTTGTGCTAATTGTGGCCATAGGAATAAATCAGGTAAAATACTCATACATTAAAATTGTTGTTTCTAAGAAAAGAGGAAGCTGAAGTAGAAGAGGGAAATGAACTAACATTAAGTAGAACAGTCAGGCAAAGAGTGACTGAGACCTCAATGAAGAGGAATTTCGCCTTTGACATAGGACAATAGCCTTCAAGTTGAAGGAGTAGCATATACAGACAGCTCAAAACGGGAAAGAACATAGCTTTTTAATTAATTGAAAGAACCACAGTGTGATGAGAATGTAATGAGAAAACACAGAATATAATTAGAATGCTAGAAAGGAGACCAATTATTCAGAGCCTTGGAGGCCACTGAAAGAGTTTAGAGGTTTTTTTGTTTGTTTGTTTTGTTTTGTTTTGTTTTCCTCTGGGTGCTTTTAGAAGGCATTAGAGGGTATTTGATAGGTAGAGATGTGATCTATTTTATGTTAAGAGAAATATTTTTTTCTGTTATGTGAAGAATTGATTGAATTTAGGCAAGAATGGAAAAACAGAGATCTGTTAAGAGTCACTTATAATAATTGAAGCCCAAAATAATAAAGACAGAATTAAAATGATGGCAGTGGAAGTAAAGAGAAGAGGGTAGTATCAAGGAGTGGTTGAAAGAAAAAGAAAATTGAAGGAAGCAAGGGAATTTTTAAGTATCAGGCAGAAAAATCTTCGTGGATGGACTCAAAGATGACTTGTGAGGGTAAGAGAGGAGGTTTGTTTTGCCCAGAAAATTCTGTGTTTTTTTCCATTCTTTGGCATATTAAAGTGGAGCATCAAAAGGCAATTGCATATTTGAATATGGATATTAGAAAGAGATAATTGTGAGTCAGTGGACAAAAGGTAATATATAAACCTATGGGAACGCATTAAATAATCTAGGTAGAAAATGATTGGAGAGTAGAAAAGAAAGGTCACAATGGAGAGCAGGAAAGAGTTCAAAATATTAAAAGGTTTGGCAGAAAATAAGAAACCAGCTAAGGGGACAGTGATAAATTAGTGAGGAAAAAGGAAAACCCAAAAAAAGCATGCCATGAAATACAAGAAATAACAGCCCTTCAGGGAACACGAAGTAGTTCACAGTATGAGGTCTTTCGAGGGATAAAATGAGATGGAGACAGAGACGTGTTACTGGCAACCCTGAAAAAAGCTGTTCCAATGGCATGATGACAGCAGAGTCATTCCATTAAGAGTTTACAGTAGAGAGAGGGAAAAAGATTCATTGTTATAACATAGTAAATTGCTGTGGTATGGGGGAAAGAGACATTTATTCTAACTTAAACTATCAGTGTAGGCTCCTTTTAGAAGAATATACGTTTAGGTTGCAACAAATATTCTTTCCTGTGGGATATATAAGATATGTATTTGAAATAACAAAATGATTTAAAAGAAATTCTTTCAATTGCAGATTCTTCAGGTCTGATCTATATTATCTTGTCCCCACCAATGAACTTGCCAAATATATTACCTGTAACAGTACTGGGTTTGATTGAAGACCAGAAAAAAAAAAAAAACTCTTGCATCAAGGTGCTTTTTATTTCAGGAAAGTATCTATATAAAAGTCAAAGGATTCCTGAAGTAAAAAATTCAGAGTACTAATTAGAAAGCCCTCCTGATTTTATTTTTTACATTCAATTAAAGCAATCATTTTATAATATAATATTAACTCTTCTTTCTCAGTTGATTATTTGCATATCTATTTTCTAAGTACAATATAAAGTTTTGGAGAGCAGGGACATAACTTTTTCAACTTTGATGGTGCTCAAGTTCCATGTGACTGTTAGCAAACACTCAGGTAGATATTTGGTGGATGAAGAAAGCACGGATGGGGAGAGGTGATATACTGGTTGTGAATTGAAAGATTACTATGAGAAAAATGCAAGGGAATGAAGAAAATGAGCAGAAGAGAATTCCACTTTGAGGAAATAGATTAAAGAAAAGTGACATGGCGGCCGGGCGTGGTGGTTCACGCCTGTAATCCCAGCACTTTGGGAGGCCGAGGTGGGTGAATCACCTGAGGTTGGGAGTTCAAGACCAGCGTGACCAACATGGTGAAACCCCGTCTCTACTAAAAATACAAAAATAGCTGGGTGTGGTGGCGGGTGCCTGTAATCCCAGCTACTCGAGAAGCTGAGGCAGGAGAATCGCTTGAACCTGGGAGGCGGAGGTTGCGGTGGGCCGAGATCGCGCCATTGCACTCCAGCCTGGGCAACAAGGGCTAAACTCTGTCCCCCACCCACGCCCCCCCCGCCAAAAAAAAAAAAGAAAACTCACATGGCGTGTTAAGCAAAATAGTGTTGGCTGGACCAAAAAGTACATGAAGTGTGGTTCAAGAAAATCTGGGAAAAACTTTAGAAGCCAAATTCAAGAGGGATTTAAGCACTGTTCTGCAATCATAGGTGTGCCATCAAAATCTGTAAGCCATATAATAAATTAAAAAAAGATTTTTGTTTTAGAATGATAACTTCAGCAGTAGTTGAACTGCTCAAGATCACCCATGAGAGCAGTAAAAAGTGAGTTCAGTTATTTAAGCTTGAACACTAAAAGAAAGACAGCAAATTTGAAGAAGAAAATAATAAGATTTGATTAGGACACTGTTTAAGTCTGAGGTTCATTCAAGGCATTAATGCAGTATCTATCAGCAGTTCTGAAATATGAACCTTGATTTTGGAAAAGTTGTGAATAATGAATTTGATTAACATGCTTATATGTGATTTCCTCTGGCTGTGCTGAGTGTTCCAGAAATAGGTACAATTTTAAAAACTAAAAAGATGGCTGAGAGAATATAGGTTGACAAAAGATGATACCAAAAGGAGTAGTTTTTAAAAATTAAATCTAAAATGCAAACAAAGCTGAAATGATTGACTATGGGGTACAGACAATGTAAGGTGATCAGGGAGAGAAGAACAATAAGAAATAATTAATTGTAATAATTGAGGTTAACAGACAGTTCTGAAAGATACACAAAAGCATTTGTTGAGTGTTGTCTATTTGGAAGGCCGTTTTACACATGCTCTTTTCTAACTTTTACAAAATTAGGAATAAATTATCCTCATTGTAATAGAGCCTCAGAGAAATTCAATAACTTGTCTAAACTTATGATGTACATGATAGTCAGGATTTTAACCCTCATCTGCCCTATGTCCAAAGCCTATAAGAATAAGAAATTGGAGTCAGAAAGAGAAATTTTATTATTTGCGGTACTGGAAGTAGAGCCTCACTCAGTGCTGCTGAGTGTTCAGTTGTGACTACATCATTAATATCCAACATGAAATTAAGCATAAAAAACACTGAAATCTCCTGAAGAAAACATGTTATTCATTACTAAGAACATAACATTAGTCCTTTTTCTAATTTGAGTTAGAACACAGATTTTACATATGTCCCCCAAATTAAGCTAGAAAATAGCTTATGAAACATGACAGGTGTTTTAATAAAAATAATTTTAGATTTATTTTATATAATGAAGGGTTAAATTACTTGAGCTAATACCTAAAATTGTGTTCAAAGACAGTTTAAAAAATCTATAGATGCTATATCAAGGGAGTATTTTCCTACGGGGAGTTCTTATTTGATGTTCCTTCTTTGTACTTTGACATTGGCATCATACATATCAGGACCAGTTACATGGTGTCTGTGAATAAAACTTCAGAGATGAGAAGTACGATGTGGCTCATATGCCTAACACTTCCGTGTGTATTATTGGTGGTGTTTCACAACATGGATTAAGAAAAAAATTGGCCAGCCATATAATGTTGGTTAATAGTATTAAAGATGGACACACTCCTGGTGAGTTAATGAAAACACAAAGAGAAAACTTCCACATATGACCTAGCTAGGGATGACTACAGAAATGCCAACTATTTCTGTTGACCTTAAGTTTCAATAACTTAAAGTCTTAATTTATTTCTTTAAAATTATTTGAGCCACCTGCTATATTCTGGCACTTATACTAGATGGTGGAGATATAAATGTATTTAAGGCAAGGACCCTGCTCATAATGAGCCTAAGAATGACAGGTGCATGTGTGTGCAGCCACTTGCACACACAGAAACCCCAAATATTATACACCCTTCAAATCTTAACCCCAAATATAAGTTTTACAGTTAGCTAATTTTAAAAATCTGAAATAAATTATTAAAATGACATATGAAAGGAAAAATAAGAAGAGAAAAACTTTTATTTTATATTATGTTCCCTTGGAGAAACAACTTCAAAATAGTAAAAAATAAGTGGCAGTTGAGATACCTGATTGTAGAGTTGAAATCTATGACCTTGTATTGAGTCCCAAAACTATTTTCATTTGTTTGGGAACCAGAGCCAGGCAACAATATTACTAGTTCTTTAGTGCCATTTTGAAATTATACTATTCTGGGAAAGTGTTTTTGAGAAACCATCAGGGTTCTGTACTCTTCGTTGGCTTTTGCAGCGGACACTGACCCTGGAAGAGCATCATCTCTGTGTTAGGTGATGCTTCAATTCTTAAAGCACAGTTGAAAGCCATTTGCAATACCATGAACATAACACATTCCTTTAAGGGGTCAAAACATTTTATTTTTTATATATTAATGGTTTCATGGTTTATCTTTAGTAGTGCTAGAACTGTTGTGATTATAATTAATGTCATCACTAATTACGCTATGGGAAAACATCATTTTCTTCTAAATTTTGCTAAACTGAAGAAAATATATATGATTCATGATGAGACAGTTCAATTAACCTTTAGCACTTACTGTATGTTGGTACAAGCAGTTTATTCATGCCATCTGCTTCACTTGCAGGATTTAAGTTGCTGATGATACTACTGTCAAATAGAAGGGATTTGGATAAGCTAGGAAATGCTTGATATATTTAGAATTCTGTAATCATTAAGTGATTATGCGTGTGTGGTTGTATATGTATATAATTTATAATATGCAATCATTGTATGAGGGCACAAGTTTCACATAAGAGGACATAACACATTTGAAATACTGCATGGTCAATTCCCTCTTAAAATCTGTTAATTAAATCTTTTTGTACTTTTGATTCCCTTGATAATTATTCTCAACTATTTTATAAAGTAGTCAACTAGCTGGAGGCTAAGGGCCTGTATTGATGTGACATTAGGGAGAGGCATGGGAAAAAGAAGCCCATTAAAAGCTAGAATTTCTTTTGATATCTCCTGTCTATATGAAAAAAATAAGGAAATTTTGTATTCTAGTTTATATGTAGATTCTTCTGGGAAGCTGCTAGCTACCATGGTTTGAGAAGACCACTATATCAAAATCTTCAAAAGTGCTTTTTTATTAAAGACATCCTAAGACTAACGCTTAGCACAATGTCTGGAATATAATAAATTCTTCTTGGTGGATAACATAGTATTATTTTTGTGATAATAAAGATTACATTATTAAAATTAATCTGTGGGTCTAAAAGAAGCCAAAATAAATCAAAAAGCACTATAAAAAGACATATGAGGAAAATATGTATCTTGTTGGCCCTTCTTCCCATCTTAGAATAGCCCAGCCTCCTCCAGCATCTCCTCATTCCATCCTCTGCTTTCTGTGCCCCAGCTCAGGCCAGCACCAGCTCCATGGCCCAGAGCTCATGCACTGACAATCAGTTTCAGGTATCGCAAGAACTGCTTCCTAGAGTTAAGTTCACAACATTATCTACTAACCTCTTAATAGTGAGCATTTCATGCTTTGGAATAGAATATATTTGGGGATACATAGATTTCCAAGAATTCCTGAGATTGACCATTTCTCTGTGGGTATTGCCAATTTGATTAACCAGAGCTCTGAATATTTTTATCTGATGTTGCAACTGTTTTAAGAGCTCTTTCTATATATGTAAAACATGATAATTATAAGCCAAAGCCCTTTGTATTAATGAGATAAATATATTCAAGATTGAATTAGGAAATATTGTATCTGATTAAACTCTATAGCTGAAAAACAAATGAAAGATTATTATCTTCAGTGTTTTGAAAATTCACATTTTTTTTCATGTTTGATGTCTTTTTTTAATTATACTTTAAGTGCTGGGATACATGTGCAGAACATGCAGGTTTGTTACATAGGTATACATGTGCCATGGTGGTTTGCTGCACCCATCAACCCATCATCTACATTAGGTATTTCTCCTAATGCTATCCCTCCCCAGCCCTCCACTCCCCAACAGGCCCTGGTGTGTGATGTTCCCCTCCCTGTGTCCATGTGTTCTCATTGTTCACTCCCACTTATGAGTGAGAACATGCGGTGATTGGTTTTCTGTTCTCGTGTTAGTTTGCTGAGAATGATGGTTTCCAGCTTCATCCATGTCCCTGCAAAGGACATGAACTCAGATATTTAAAGTTTCATTTAATCACTCCGTATTGGAAATGTTGATCTGAACATAGCCCCCAAAATGCTTTGTTTGTTCTTTTTCCCCTAACCCAATATCAATTTTCTTTCACACTGCATCTTTTCTAGGTTGTCTTTTTCAGAGGCTGTTGTAGATCAACCTGTCTGGCAGAATGCATAAGGAGGATTTTTTTAGACATGTTGATACTGAGCACACTGTTACATTTTCTTATCCGGCAATCCTGACATCTTTGGAGAAATTTTCTTCCTAGCCAATTTCATACGGTTAATTTTTTTCATGTAAAGCAATATATATTACCCACTTTCAGTAATACATTTATACACTTAAATAGAAGATACAAGATTTTCCAAACTTTAGAGTAATGTTCAAATCAGACTCTCAGACGATATAAAGAGTTATCGCTGTAAAAATGTAAAATGATTAAATTGTGACTAAATCTTTAAACAATTAAAAAGTATGCCCGTGGAGAGTTAATATATTTGTAATATCTATTTCAATAACTTAAAACTTAGGAGATAATTAGACAACAGAATCTATTAAGTCACAATAATTATTTTTTGCCTGGAGATACAGATTACATTAATAGATTTCATCAGCTGTAAATGTCATAATGCCTGGAGGTAGTTCCTGCTTCTTATAAAAGGAGTTAAACATAACATTCATATAAACTCATATTAATCCTCCAGTTTTATTGTGTCCTTTAGAATAATTTAACTAAGTGACTGGAAGATTTTTATTTTGCATTAGAGAGCACAGGATTTCTTGTTGATTTTAAGCATTTATTTAATAATAATATTAAATTTGTATTAAATATAAATTAATACTAAAGGTGCATTGTCTGAACCTCAGAGGATTTTATGAGTCTAAAATAAATATATGTAGCTCATGGGTTTGTCATGACCCAGAGGATACGTTTCCTGCAACCTATAGCATGAATTTTGCAAATGTTCCAAAGCTCATGGTGCCTGCGGCAGTAAATGTTCTAAGCCATCAGCTGGTAAGTGACTTTGGAAATTAGTTGGAGGTTAATTCTCTGCCTCATTGGCCCCCTGAAGTGGACAAACTGTAATTGATTTTGATAGCGTTCACAAAGAACTTTTTTCTATTGAAAATGGAGGCATACTCCCAGAGACATCCTCTGGATACAGGAACAATTAAATAGGTATCAATGAGATGTCATTAAAAGTTTATGTTTCTGTAATTAATAAACACTCCTTACTTTTGGCAATTTTGTTGCTTTTAAAAACTACAAATTTTAAATTGTCAAAATGGTTTATTTTTCCTGTGGAGTGTTTTCATTTAACTCGAGTATCTTGCACAAGCACTAATATTCTATTTTCATATATGCTGCTATAGAAAGAAGCAGCTATGGGCATGCATATTCATTTGTGTCTATAACCTCACAAAGGAAAGAGCAAAGAGTTACTCTCTGGGACAGTGGTGTCCTCAAGTGAGCATCTTGAGCAAAAGGAGTAAAACTGATCAGGAACACGTTCACTGTCATGGATTTTGTTCAATAGTTACATAGAAAAATTAAGTCCATATCTTTTTCATTTAAATGAATTCCTCTAACCACTCAATAACAAATCAATTATAGCTGTATCTTTTAACTGTGTATTTTGCAAAATCTAGACCTTTTTAAATCTAAGCTGGATAAACAGACTTGGTAGCTCTTTAAGATACACCAAAATAGGTGTCCTAATTAGTTTGATGAGATGATTGTAGAATCTCTAATTGCATCAGTTGTAGCCTTACTATATTGAGTTTCTTGAAAGAATTAAGCCTAGTATATTCTTCCAACACAGTATAGGCACTGTGATTTCAGAAAGTCTAAGACATAGTTACAAACTAAACACTATACTAAGGTATTTTTATATGTCATTTAAAAATTATATTATTCTTTATAAGTAAATTTGCCCAGGCCTCTACATAGTAAGTGCTGGAGTTAAGATTTTAAGACAGTGTGTATGCCAACTTTAGATAATTCATAAATTAATAACAGATTTTTAGAGGCAGGTAGGACATCCTTCAAATAGTAATAGTAAACACCAGCTAAGATGTCCATTATCTATTTTGATGTCTTCTAGAGGCAGTCAGCAAAAATAAACCCAATTCTTTTCTTTATTATGCTGAAAACATTAGAAAAAGAGAAGTCAAAACACTAAAATGGAGATTACGTATTCTACAAATAAAAATGAAATACTATCTTTGTCCACGCTTAAATTTACAGTTCATTTAAAAATACTACAATTTGGGGTATTCAGATTAACTTTTGTAGCTTGATGATTGAATTGTTTTATATATACATATATATATATATATATATATATATATATATACACACACACACATAGAGAGAGAGAGAGGCTTTAATATTTCTTAAATTTTATTTTTAAATTTTAATCTATTTCTGTATTATTTTTCATTTGTTGTGAGACTGGGTTATGAGACCTGGCTAATTTTTGTATTTTTGGTAGAGATATGGTTTCACCATGTTGCCAAGAGTCTCCAACTCTTGGCCTCAAGTGATCACCCACCTTGGCCTCCCAAAGTGCTGGGATTACAAGTGTCAGCCACCGTGACTGGCCCATATAGGCTTTTATATTTGTATTAAAAGAGCAATTTGTCAGGAATGAAGATCATGTCATGCAAAGCATCTAAACAATAAGGAAAAATACTTATTTGAATATGGGGCCCACTCTAAGCCCTCAAGTTTCCCAGCCAGGGAGCCATATATCCTCTTTTCCTTTCAATGTCTTTCATTTGATAGAGGATTGTTCATGTGATGTTGAAGGATCCCTGGAGCCAAACAAACGTGTGAGTAATTCAAGACTTGTTATTTCTCAGACCATCAATTTCTTTATTGTTAACAATGGAGGAAAAATACTTACTTTTTACCATTAGTGTGGAGTAAAGTGAGATAATGGCCATAATGCACTTAGAGAAATGCCAAAAACTCAATAAATAGAGCTCGAATTAGTCAGCCCCAGCTGCCATAACATAATAGCACAGATTGTGTGGCATGAACAAAAGAAATTTTTATTCTTGCAGTCTGGATGCTGGAAGTCTGAGGTCAAGGTATTAACTGATTCTGTTCCTGGAAAGGGCTCTCTCTTCCTGGTTTGCAGATGGCTGCCTTCTCGCTATGTTCCCAAGTGGTGGAGAGAGAAGGAGAAATCTCTTTCTCTTCATCTTCCACCAATCCAATTGGATTAGGACGTAACCTTATGACTCTAATTACCTCCTAAAAGCCCTATCTCCTTATACAGTCAAATTATGGGTTAGAGCTTCAACATATGAATTGGGATGTGGAGGCATACAATTCGGTTCATGGAGTAGTTACTTAAAAACTAGTGTTTTAAAAATATTTTTAAAATATTCTTCATTAGTGGAACCTCAATTTTTCTCTCAGTTAATGGAGATTGTGTGATATATTTTAGGTCATCTTCCTGAAAGTTTCACCAGCCAAATTCGCCTGATTAAATTCCATGTTCTCTGCTTCTGTGAGTTTATTTGTGAAGAAGTAAAGAGAACATTTTCTTCTTTTATGTTCTCAACTCTCTGAACTGTGCCTGACATAGGCAAACCCAGGGTCCTTAGAGGCTGGATAGAACCACTAATAGGACTATTTGGCATTATGGCTGGGGTGTAATTGCTTTTCAGTTTTACAGCTTTACTAAGAGACTGTTATTGCTCTTTCAGAGTTACTTCAGAGCCAGCTGTTTAAACAATAAAATTTGTTCAAAATAGGGCTTTACTGACAATTTTCCTCTTTATAATTGGTGCTACTGCCTCCATAAACTCAGTTTCTTTTTTAGATGTCTGATGGCTGTCAGAGTTCTTTGTAGTTCTTTTAGAGATGCTACAGCAAAGTATTTAGTATAGTTCTTCCTTCCTGGACTATTTCATAATAACTCAAAAAATGAGGAATGGGTTTTCACAGATGAAATATAGCAAACTCCTCTAAAGTGATAAACTAAATGTAAATTTTACATATAACACACTAATTAAAATAGTGAAATGTCTTTGTGGATTTAATAGCTATTTAGCTTCAGCAGGAAACACGATAAATGAAATGGAAGATAAGTTCAAAGAGAAAGAAAAATTAAGAAAATGTGTGTGAGAGAGAGAGAGAAAGAGAGAGAGACACAGAGAGAGAGAGATAAAATGGGGTAATAAAGAGAGAAAAGAAGTGAAAGATAATGTAAAAAAATTCATGTAGACAATAACTCAGAATTATCCAAATGGAAGAAAGATATTAATGCTCAGATTTCAGAAGCTCTACAAATCCATGCACAAAAATATAATGAGAACTACACATAGACACTACCTTATTACCTGTGTTTTCTTACTGATTTATAAACATTCATTATACATTCTCATCCTGTGTATTTAGATCACAGTATTGTTTACATGAAAGTGTTCGCTTTGTGCATATTTATTTAGCTGCACAGTATGTACACCTTCCCACAAACAATAGAAAAGTACCAAGAAACTACATAAATAATAAGCCAGAGAAAAATGCTATTTAATAAAAGAAAAAAAGAAAAAAACAAGGTCTAGAACAGAATGTTTATCTCCTTCAAAATATTTGTAGATAAATAGAATAACTGAAAGGTTATATCAGTGATCTTCACTTCCCAATTAAACACCTCTTAAATGGAGATGCTGCTACTGCCTTCATTACATATTGACATATTTTTATTTCACTAATGGTTTTGCAGGTAACTATCTCTTTTCTATAATTTCTAGAGTCAATAAAATGGGCAGCCTGTGTTAGTTTACTGTTACATCAGGAGTTAAACTAGTTTTAATTTTGATTTGAATATTTTATTCACATCAAATAATTCAGTACATGTATTTTCTATTTACTAATTTTCTCTTTGTACTTAGATATATGCTTTAAATTAATTTTGCCTTTACTTCATATTTTTTGACCCACACTAAT
This sequence comes from Homo sapiens, assembly GCF_000001405.40. Lineage (NCBI taxonomy): Eukaryota > Metazoa > Chordata > Mammalia > Primates > Hominidae > Homo > Homo sapiens. The sequence goes on from NC_000007.14 coordinate 118,626,052, forward strand.
GTATTCAATGCATTTAGAAAATCAAAATATATTGAATATTTAATAGCTGCTAATTGTCAATACTTTGAATTTGTTACCTACCTACATAAGTAAATATGTAAATTATTTAAAATCTCACGTGGAAATCATACATAAAATCAATTTTTAATTAAACATTAATTTTAAAGATATCTGTTTAATGTATTGTTCATTATAAAAATGTCAAGTAACATCAATTTGAAAACAGTATTAAATTTTATAGAAAATTAACTTGTTAGCTTTTGGTAGCTTATTTTGGATTCTAAAATATTAAATATTTAACAAAAGAAAAATGAAAGCACTGTTTAAGGACTTGGGTCATGTTAGTAAACAGATGTTAATAAACAGATTGTATTAATCTAAGAGGATTTTCAAGTTTTCAAAGAATATGTTGTAAGGAGGCTGCAGTCTTATTTTGAACTTACTTTTTATTTCCTATTAAAAAGACAATATCAAATGAAGAGATAATTAGTATAAAAAATCTGATTTTGATTAAGTGTAGTGCTTAACAATTAGGCAGCCAAAATTACGAATAAATGAATGAATGAATGAGAGAAAATGCTGAATATGTGCATTGATGTGAATTAAATACTATAACAATATATAAATAAATATAATTACCAGATTCATGAAACAACTTTCATCCAAGTAGCATAAAAGCCTAATATCGATAGTGGCAAGAGTCAGACAAATTCCTAAGGCAGACAGGGGTGGGTCCTTCAAGCCAAAGATATCCTGAAGACTGAAAACCAGGCTGCCAGTTCCTGGTAAAGTCCATGACCAAAGTGAGAACTTCCTCTATGCCTTTTTCAGCAATGAAACAGCGCTTTGTCCAGGCCTGCCAATGACTAATCAGCACACACTCCCCCATTCCGAGCCTATAAAAAACCTGAAGTCAGCCATATGTTGGACTACCACTCCAAGGCCCCATCTCACACAGAGGCCCACCTGCTCTCAGGTCCCCTCTCCGTAGAGAGCTTTCCTTCACTCACTCAATAAAATCCTTCCCTGCCTTGCTCACTCTCTGGTGTCCGCTTAACCTCATTCTTCTTGGTTGTGGGACAAGAACCTGGAGCCCAATGAACAGCGGGGGTGAAAAGATCTGTAACGTGTTCCTGGCTGGCTTGCCAGGCTGCAGGTGGTGTCATGTTCCCATTCACTGGACTATGGGAGTGAAGAGTGGTGACCCTTCTGGGGGCCCAGATCTTGGGATTCCTGAGCCAGAACTGTAACACTGTAACCCTCCTGCCCTTTGCTGGTGCCAGGCAGCTGCCCTATGTAATGGGAAGTGGCAGCAGCAGGGCCAAGCCAGCCCAGGAGCTGCAGGCTAGAGCTGGACGGCAGAACTAAATGAGCTGTAACACGAAGAAACTGAAACATGGCCCCCCATTTGCCATGCTGTGGGCGGCAAGAAGGAGAGAGAGCTGTAACAGTCCTTGAAGGCTCAGACTTTGGGGCTCCCTGGGTGAGAGCCTAACACCCCTTGGAGCTCTGTGGTTGCTGGCATTTCTGAGTTTTTGGGCGCCATCCCGTTCCCCTCATCTAGATGTTAATGCCTAAGGTGGAGGATGGTCGTGGCGTGCCTGGACCAGCTGCAGGCTGAGTGCAGACCCACAGTGGGCGGGAATGCAGGCTGGTAGTGCGAGCTGAGTGCAGCCAGCTGGGCAGAGTGGGTGGAGGAAAACTGTCAGTGAGCCCGAAGCTGAGCAAGACACCAACAGCCATGGAAATTTCTGGCACCAATAGAATCCTGTGTCAATAACAATATTCTTATATGGTATTTGCTGGTTATGTAAATGAAATAAATTGAGGTCAATCTCATTATATTTATTTTACAGACATGAAAACAAGGCAGACACACAATGGGTAACTCATTCTCAGGATGGTAGGTGGATAAAATCCTGTGGTGTGGGACATTATTTCCCACTGGATATGTTTGCTTATGGTCTTTTAAACAAATCACATTCGATTTGTGAAGATACTTTAGTGAAACATTTCCTAATGAAAATTAGTTTGTGTTAGAGATGTGACCTGTGGGTCACCGTGCCTAGGTATAATTAGATTGTATCAAAAGAATCAAATCAGCTGGGCACAGTGGCTCACACTTGTAAACCCAGTACTTTGGGAGGGTGAGGCAGGAGGATTATTTGAGCCCAAGAGCTCCAGACCAGCCTGGGCAACACAGTGAGGCTCTGTATCTACAAAAAATTAAAACGTTAACTGGGTGTGGTGGCATAGTCCCAGCTACTCAGGAGACTGAGGTGGGAGAATCTATTGAGCCCAGGAGGTCGAGGCTGAAGAGATCTGTAATTGTGACAATCTAGGTGATAGAGTATGACCCTGTCTCAAAAGAAAAACAAAGAAAGAAGCAAATCAAATGTCACTAGATCTTCTCCCTATCAGCCTAAGATTAAAGAGCATCAGAATCTTGAAAAATCCTCACTTACTCCTAAATGTTTCTTAGAGTTTAATCAGATACAATATTTCCTAATTCAATCTTGAATATATTTATCTCATTAATACAAAGGGCTTTGGCTTATAATTATCATTTTTTACATATATAGAAAGAGCTCTTAAAACAGTTGCAACATCAGATAAAAATATTTAGAGCTCTGGTTAATCAAATTGGCAATACCCATAGAGAAATGGTCAATCTCATGAATTCTTAGAAATCTAGGTATGCCCAAATATGTTCTATTCCAAAGCATGAAATGCTCACTATTAAGAAGTTAGTAGATAATGTTGTGAACTTAACTCTAGGAAGCAGTTCTTGCGATACCTGAAACTGATTGTCAGTGCATGAGCTCTGGGCCATGGAGCTGGTGCTGGCCTGAGCTGGGGCACAGAAAGCAGAGGATGGAATGAGGAGATGCTGGAGGAGGCTGGGCTATTCTAAGATGGGAAGAAGGGCCAACAAGATACATATTTTCCTCATATGTCTTTTTATAGTGCTTTTTTATTTATTTTGGCTTCTTTTAGACTCACAGATTAATTTTAAGAATGTAATCTTTATTATCCTCAATTATTTGATGGACTTCAGTTAGAAAGTAACTTTTATTATTCATTAATCAATAATATTAATAAAAACTACTGTGAATCGCTAACGTTTTAAAGTGATTTTCAGTTTATCACTAAACAAATATTTAAAGATTAAAAACTCCTCTGTGTGTGTGTGTGTGTATGTGTCTATGTGTGTCTACATAGGCAGGATGTCTTGTTTATCCAATTTTCATATAATGCTTAATTCATATATCACTCCATAAAATCCCCAAAAGTTGATGGTAAACAGGTTGAAAAATACAAACCTCTCTCTTTGAAATTCAAATCTTCCTAATGTTGATCTATTTTTAGACCCTCATTATGTCTTGTCAGAATTGTTAAAATAACCTGCTAAATGTTCTTTCTCCCCCATGCTGTGACTGATTCTAATATAGTTTAATCTGACAGTTGTTACTAAAATGCAAATATTTATTTGAAAGCCTCTCTTCAATTCCAACAAAGAAGTGCCATCAAGTATCTTAGAAAAGTATGTAAAGTGATTTTTATTCTGGTGCTATTTTACCCTACTTTTCCCATATGAACACTATACTGTACTCATATAATTTGACAGTTTTTCTATGTTTTTACTACTTCCCTGTGTTCTTTTGCTCAAGTTTTCCTTATGAACCTCCCTGGCCTAAGAAGCTACTTTTGATGGTGCATTGTCATAGTCATATCCACTGCCTCTGACCACTGCTTCCACCTTATGCTCAATGTTCCTATTAAAATAGGGCATGTGACCCCTGAGAATCTCAATCTCAAAGCAGTACTGTGCTCCATGTGATAAGAATACTCTTTGTTTTTTTCTATTCCTCTCAAACTTTGTAACATTGGCCCAAAGAAGCAGTGCTTGCATTTTATAAGATCCTCAACGAAAACTGCTGCTCTATGTTCTGTTTGCAGTTTCTGTGTCCATAGGTTCTCTCCTGAGGACACAAGTTCATAGAGCCCAGCAAGAGCTCAGCACTTGGGACAAACCCTCACATACTTCTCCAGCTCTTCATGGCCCTGAATCCCTTCCCTAAAATCTCTTCCAGAAGAAAGCTCTCAGTCAAATATCTCCAAGATAGTTCTTTTCCTTATGCCATCCATCACACCAGCCTGACATATCAATCAGAGAATAAGCTCAAATGGACTGTCATTGACACTGCAACCTCTATTGAAAGGCAAATCTGTGCAAAGGCATTATGAAAGAGCTTAAGAAAAGAAGCATTCCTGTGAGTCCTTTTATGTATTGTGATTAGACCCTAGAATGTTTTCCTGAAATTAAGCATTTAACTGAAAGTGAAGAAGCCTCTGGGCCTCATCTCTATTTCCATAATAGTCCGACTTACTTAATCTACTCTTTTATTGAGTTTAAATAAGAAGCTGTTTTTATTTCCCCTGGATACAATAAACTCTAAAAATAAGCACAGAATCAAACTTATTTTAGACTTTTTTTAAGCTTTCCTTTATTTTGGACATGTTATTTGAATAAATAGTTTGTATTTAAGAGAGAAAGAACAGAATACTCCTTAATGATTCTTTCATTACATTTTTCTTCAATAATTCAAGGCATATCCACAAATTCAGTGGTTGTGCAAAAACTTTTTTATACATGAATTTGTACCTTATTTAGAATTAAAATATTTGTGTGTCCTAATTAATCAAGCTAAAGTATTAATTGAGTAAATATATACTTGACAATTAACAGGGAAAGTAATACTTTACAGATTTAGCCACAGGAAACAAGAGTGGCCATTTTTTTTTCAATTTGATTAAAGAATATTTTTATCCAGAATACATGTGGAATTCTGGTAGAAAATTTCAGACAGCTGATGAATTCTTACCATGTATCTTTATACAGTGTGATTAGAATGTATAATCATTCCCTGAAATTATGCTTTTTTTTAGCTGAAAGAGAAGCCTTTGGGTCTCCTCTGTGTTTCCATAATAGGCTAATTTAATCTACTCTTTTTACTCTGTTCCTGCCATGAAAAGACAATTTTGTTTAGCCAAGCAGTAATAAACCCTCTAAAAATGGTTCAGAAACAAGAGGTTTTTTTTTCTTTCCTAACTTTTCTTTATTTTTGATATGCTATTTTGAACCAGTAGTCTATATTTCAAAGAGAAAACTGTTATTCTCACTTGTGTTTTCATGAAATTTTCCCTAATAATTCAAGTCATGCCCAGCATGAGTTAGTTGAATTTGAAAAATATTAATCTCACAGTTTTGTATCATATTCAGCACTCAATCTTTTTATTTTAGTAAAGTTCTTGAACAAAGGTATAAGTTAATATACAGATAAAAAATAATAGGATGATGTCTTTATAGCTTTGTGTACAGCAGGAAATATTACTTAAAAAGCATTTTTAGTGACCTACTTTATGTATGGAATGCTGCTAGAAACTACAGAAATGGAAAATTATTAGGACTTGTCCTGTGGATATTTAGAACCCAGTAAAAAGAAAGGGTGAATTTAACAAGTTCTCTGTCACGAAGAAAAGTACTAAGTAGCAAAAGTGAAAAAAATGTTTAAAAAGTGATTTAAAAGCTCTGAGGAAATACAGAGCTCATCTACATAGGGGATTCAGGGACTGTCTCTGACAAAAGGTGGGGCAGAGGAATTGGAGATAGAAAGATTGTTGAAAAAGCAGAAATGTTAGTGTGGGGCATTTTAGGTCAAAATAACATAACATGATAACATAAAAGCAAAAAAAAAAAAAAGAAAAAGGAAAAGCAAATAAACAGAAACTTCAAGTTTAATTTTGAGTGTCAGAAATCTGCCAGACATCTAGGTAAAAATGATCAGTAAACAGATGGCTCTATGAGTCTGACATGAGAATAAAAAGTTTTGGTTTGGAATTCTCTCTTTCTTCCTCTCTCTCTTTCTCTCTCCCCTCCACCCTTCCCTATATTTCTAGCATTGCTAGCTTCTAGGGGTGTAAAGGTAAATAATGCAGAAACAGTTTTCAGGGAGTTCACACACTAGTTGGAAGTCGTATAATCAAACAATTTTCACAGAATAGAATGTCACAGCAAGATATTAGCAAGGTGCTATCAAGGGAGGATCTGATATCTGCATAGGAAAGTCAGAGAAAATTTGACAGATGGTGATGTGTCAGTGGTGTATAGAGGGTAAAACATGGGACAATTTCCAAGGGAAGTAGTAAAAACATAGAAAAACTATCAAATTATAAGAGTACAATATAGTGTTCATATGGGAAAAGTAAGGTAAAATAGCACCAGAATAAAAATCACTTTACATACTTTTCTAAGATACTTGATGGCACTTCTTTGTTGGAATTGAAGAGAGGCTTTCAAATAAATATTTGCATTTTAGTAACAACTGTCAGATTAAACTATATTAGAATCAGTCACAGCATGGGGGAGAAAGAACATTTAGCAGGTTATTTTAACAATTCTGACAAGACATAATGAGGGTCTAAAAATAGATCAACATTAGGAAGATTTGAATTTCAAAGAGAGAGGTTTGTATTTTTCAACCTGTTTACCATCAACTTTTGGGGATTTTATGGAGTGATATATGAATTAAGCATTATATGAAAATTGGATAAACAAGACATCCTGCCTATGTAGACACACACACAGACACACACACACACAGAGGAGTTTTTAATCTTTAAATATTTGTTTAGTGATAAACTGAAAATCACTTTAAAACGTTAGCGATTCACAGTAGTTTTTATTAATATTATTGATTAATGAATAATAAAAGCTACTTTCTAACTGAAGTCCATCAAATAATTGAGGATTATATTCATGCTTAAAAATATCACGAATTTCAGCCTGGCCGACATAGTGAAACCCTGTCTCTGCTGAAAACACAAAAAATTAGCCGGGCGTGGTGGTGGGCATCTGCAATCCCAGCTACTTGGGAGGCTGAGGCAGGAGAATCACCTGAACATGGGAGGTGGAGGTTGCAGTGAGCCGAGATTGTGCCATTGCACTCCAGCCTGGGAGACAGTGCAAGACTCCGTCAAAAAAAAAAATTATGAATTTATATTGATGTCGAGTTTTTTGTTTTTGTTTTTATTTGTTTGTTTGTTTGGAGACAGAGTCTCACTCTGTTGCCCAGGCTGGAAAACAGTGGCACGATCTCAGCTCACTGCAACCTCCACTTCCCAGGTTCAAGCTATTTTTTCCTCTCAGACTCCCCAGTAGCTGGAATTATACGTGCCCGCGACTGCACACGGCTAATTTTTATATTTTTAGTAGAGACGGGGTTTCACCATCTTGGCTAGGCTAGTCTTAAATTCCTGACCTGAAGTGATCCACCCTCCTCAGATTCTCAAAGTGCTAGGATTACAAGTGTGAGCCACCGTGCCAGGCCCAGTTTATTTTGAGGTATGTAAATAGTTAGATAATGGTGTCATTCATGGGTGTAAGAAATACAGAAAAAGGAGAAGTCTAATGTGTTGTTATGAATGTGTTGATCCTGAAGAACTTACAGAATTGTCCTAAAAGGCAGTTGTACATACAAGGAGATAACTGCCTCCTAGAAATGTCTGGCTTTAATATATAAACTTGGAATCTATCATTCTATCTAACTAACGACCTAGCTAATGATTGCTGAGATGATAGGGGGATGTGTGGAAAGAGAGGAAGCTGAGCACAGAATTCCTTAAAACAGAAGTCATGAAGAGAAAGCCATCACTATTACTAACTAAAAGTTGTAGACAGGAAGGAGTAGTAGAAGACCAAGAAAGACATCCCAACATCTAAGGGAAAAAGGAATATCCTAGTTCCTCAAAATATTTTTCTGAATTCTTGGATGACCATAATATATTTTCTTTTGTTCTTACATATTTTGAATCTTTACTACAATTGCTACTTAAATATTACCTACATATAATTATATAAATATCTTCCTTTAAATGAAGAATAATTATTTAAGCAATCATTTGTCTTCCATTTTAGTAACATTAAAATAATACAACAGAAGGTAATGTGACAGTTTATGAATACTATATCTGGTGTGTGAATATCTGATCCACTTTGGTAATAAACTGAAAGGTAGCGTAATTTGTTGTAATCCCACCCTATTATTTTCAGAATGCCAGGAAAAAGTTCTCAGTGTGAGTAATGCCTCAGAAAAATATAAAGTTTTAATATCTTTTAATATCTAATAGTTTTCAGAAATTGCTCATGGAAAGGAATATTGCTTAATAAGGCTAACTTATCTTCCATTTATGAAAAATCCAGTTTTCCATGAATTCACCCACATTTGTACTGTACAATTAAAGATTGAGAGGGAATTGATGAGCCAGAGCTAAGCATCTGTAGCACACATTCAACATTTTGACATGTGTAATTTTAAGACTAGTCAAATTGATATAATTCTAAAATATCACATGTTGTGAGGCTTTGTATTTTTCACTTTGCTTGGGTGTAAGGTAAAAATTCCAGGAAATAAAATATTATTACTATTGAATTTATATATAGGAATCTCCTGTTCTTAAATCTATAACCAACTATAATTTGCTTTGGCTTAAGAAACAGCAAATAATGCTGCAATATACCTGGGCATACAGACATCTCTGCAAGGTGCTGATTTCATTTCCCTGGGTATATAGTCAAAACTGGGATTGCTGGAATATGTAACAGTTTGTTCTACTTTGATGATGTAATATAAAATGAAATAATTTGCTGTAATTCCACCCCCATTCTATTTTAATTTTTTTGAGTAACCCCCATGCTGGTTTCCATAATGACTGTACTAATTTACATTCCCACCAACAGAGGACAAGGGTTTCCTTTTCTCCACACCATCGCCAACACTTGTTATTGCTTCTTTTCTTGATAACAGCCATTCTAACAAGTGTGAGCCAAGATATGAAAAGAAACCAAAGTGTCAACAGACCAATGGTGAACACATCTATTGTGTGTGCGTTTGTGTATGTATACATCAGTAAATATACATATATATATATATGCACACATATATGCACACTGGAACATTATTCAGTTTAAAGAAGTGATCCTGTCATTTGCATTGACATGAATGAGTCAGAAAGACATTATGCTAAATGAAATAAGCCAGACTCAGAAAGAAAAATACTGCATGATCTCAGGTATATGTGGAATTTTAAAATTAAAAAGTTGCATACATAAAAATAGAGATTAGAGTGGTGATTACTGGGGCAGGGTATTGGGGGGCGCATGGGGACATATGGGTCAGAATGAATAAACTAGAGATCTAATATACAGCATGAGGACTATATTTAATAATTGTGTATTATATACTGAAAATGTATTAAGAGAGTAGACTTTAGGTGCTCTTACCACACTCGCACATACATATATGCATACAAATCAAACGTGTGAGATGATAGATATGTTCATTTGTTTGACTGTAGTAATCAGTCCGCTATGCATATGTATGTCAAAACACTATATAGGTAACCTTATATGTATGCAATAAAGAAAAGGCAGCAAATAAAACTGCACAGATATTTATAGATACATTAGTTTAACAGTTTTTGCAGAACTTCTCAAATCTTCCCTAGGAGAAAGATTGTCTTTGCTGTTGCCTTTTGTCACTTAAACATCAGTGACTAAGCAAAAGCCTTTCATTTTCTTGGTGTCAGTTCTAAAAATTCCCTGGGCTGTAAACGACCAATTAGTGCCAAAACTGTGAAGACACTTCAGTTATCTTGGTTTAGACCCTGAGCTGAGCTTTCATTTGTTTGTTAGCAGCCTGATAATTAGATTTCTTCCTGAACATAAGCTAAATTTTAAGAAGGATCCTGGAGTTTTACAAACACATCATTCAGTGTAGTGTAGTCTAAATCCAACTTGACTATTTTCCCTTTACTCTCTTTTCCTTCATATATTATCCTTTGTAGTGTAAATTACTGCTGCAAAAAAGCACATGTTAAAATTTACTGAAAATATGCCTTTTCTTTAAAAATAGTCTGTGTATTTTATAAATTAATTCTAATTATATTGTTAATATACTTAAAGTAAAATTTTGATGTTTAGGTTATAATCTAATCTAACTGTTGTCTTTCTAATCTGAAACAGTATTTTATTTGAAATTCTATATGTGTTATCTTCACATTGCTTTTTTACTTTATATGTTCAATAGTAGAATACCATAGCAAGATTGGTACTTATCTGTGTCTTAAATATTGCAAACGATAAAAAACAATGTTATATAAATTGATGAATTTGATAATTGTGAAGTATTTAAAATAGAGAAGTATGATTAGCATTAAGATTTTGTATTATTCTTTAATCACTTTTATATGCCTACAATTATCCTATTAACAGATTTGTTCAGTATCTCCAACTTATTCCAATATAATTGAGATATTTTTTGTTGTATTCTTATTTTTCATTATAAGGTGATAACCTAATTTACTCCAGGTGTTCTTATGGCTCTTTCAAATATAAACTTTGCTGAACATAATGGACCACTTTATGACAAATTTAGAATATGACTACATTTTAAGTTTTTGAATACTTACTATTATATTTAAACTTAGTTTATTTGAGGTTACAGAAAAAATCTAAGCAATTTATACCTTTTATACTTAATGCTACTGTTTTGATTCAAACTGACTTTAAAAATAATTTAAATAAAATGATTTTTGATAACTTCAGTGTACAGAATTAAATTTTTCAAGAGAATTTTGTGGAAGCCCTGATTAGCCAATTTATTGCTCTTCAGTTTCTCCTGTCTATATTACCATTGGAGAAACATCTAGCCAACTTGAAAGTTTATTCTCACCAGAATTCTAGGACCAATTTTAATCTCGGTCAAGAGTAATGTGAACAGCAAATCCCTCACTTTGAGATTTAGTATTTTTACCATTAGTGTTTCTCTGAATGTGATTTTGTGAGTGTCAGCTCTAGTAATCTCCCTTCTAGCTTGTTCTCAAACTTATTCCCAAAAAGACATTCAGCTTTGGTCACCCAGTCCTTGCTTTTTTGTGTGTATCTCAGTTTTTGTCATTGAATTCCCTGTGTCCCAGTATCTACCTTATAAACTGCCTTATCCCCTGCACCACTGTCTAAGAACATGGGACCTTTCTTTTTCCAAATTCTAAAATCAAAAGCTGTCCTGGCTGTCCATATTGTCTCTAAATTATTCACTGGGACCCTGCTGTAAATTGACAAACAGCTTTCACATCACCTACTTGTCTGCTTGGATTTCTTAATATGATTAGTGTCATCAAATATAATCAAATCAATTCACTAAGACATGAAATGTCAAGAGGCTTCGTTAATTGCTTTCCTTCTCCCCAAAAATAATAGTTTGCTTAAGATGCCTTTTTTGCTCTACTTCCGGAACAGGATGCGCATGTTCAGAACTTGAGAGTCGTTCTGTGTCTTGGTTACTTTTCTGCACAGAAGACAGGTCTGGTTACAAGCCTGTTGCCCCCAAGTTAGCCTAATTTCGTTTCTTTTTCTTTTTTTTGAGACGGAGTCTCGCTCTGTCGCCCAGGCTGGAGTCCAGTGGCACAATCACGGCTCACTGCAAGCTCCGCCTCCTGGGTTCACGCCATTCTCCTGCCTCAGCTTCCCAAGTAGCTGGGACTACAGGCGCCCGCCACCACGCCCTGCTAATATTTTTTGTATTTTTAGTAGAGACGGGGTTTCACCATGTTAGCCAGGATGGTCTCGATCTCCTGACCTCCTGATCTGCCCGCCTTGGACTCCCAAAGTGCTGGGATTACAGGCGTGAGCCACGGCGCCCGGCGCCTAATTTCACGATAATTAAACTTATCATGTCCACCATCCTGACAGCATGCTGATCTGCCTAAGCTTGTGTGTCAGCTCCCCAAAATATAATTCATAAATTCAACTTAAAAAAAAACACCTCGGGGTAAACATATTTTAAAAATTCCACCTCACGACTTCCCCTTAAAGGATTAGAGAACTGTTTTCTGTTAGTGTTGAGTCAAAGAATGAACTGAGGATGAGGGAAAGGCAGAACTAAGGGTTGCAGAATTCAGATTGAAAAATGTTGACTTTTTAAGTCATCATCCTGAGGGGTGTGCTGACCACAGCCTCTCATTATACCGGAGTATATTAATCCTTTATTGCTGATTACTTACCACAAACTTGAGTAAAGACCAACAGTATTGATTCAGAGTGGAGATATGGAGCTGGTTTGTAGCCCTGTCAGAGAGCTCCACGGATGTTAGCATATGAAGTCTAACTTTTTAAGGTGATTTATTTATTCTTATGTGGAATCTTTCATAATACAGAAGTGTAAAAGCAGGGTGATCTCTTCATAGAAATTTAGGGAACATGAAAAATAATTTTAAATGCTCAGTACTAGGACTCAAAAGTACAGGAGTCTAAAACTTTGCATGTGTCCATTAAATATTTTTTCTGTTTTAAAATGTGTCTTTACATCAATAAAAGCATGCAAGCACACATCCATGTACACATACACTTACATTTCCATTAAACAAGCATCACATAAGAACAAAATATCTTGAAGCAACTTTATTTTCTCTCCCAATCATGCTTTAAGTTTATCCCATAGAAGTTAGTCTTTCCCTTTACCAGGATCAAATTTTTGGTCAGAAATGTAAATTTCTCAATAGTAAACATATTGCTTTGGGAGGCCAAGGTGGGTAGATCACTTGAAGTCAGGAGTTCAAGACCAGCCCTGGCCAACATGACAAAACCCTGTCTCTACTAAAAATACAAAAGTTAGCCTGGTGTGGTGGTGTGCACCTGTAATTCCAGCTACTCTGGAGGCTGAGGCATGAGAATCGTTTGATCCCAGGAGGTGGAGGTTGCAGTGAGCCGAGATTGCACCAGTGCCCAGTGCAATCCAGCCTGGATGACAGAATGAGACTCTGTCCTAAAAAAAAAAAAAAAAAAAGAAAGAAAAAAAGAAAAAAAATGAAGTAACTTGAAGTCACTACGTGCAAAATTAGTAATTAGTAATTAAATTATCTAGTTCAGGACAGAATGAGGTGGGTGAAAGTTAACATTCCCGGAGGCATCAATTAGATGAAAGGGGACAAATTACTAAAACATGTAATTGAATGCATCAGAGAACTGTAGAAGCAATAAATACAAGGTTTTCAAAATTTTCACAAAAGACACCTTGCTGGAAAGACAAAACCAGCAGGAGAAGTGTTTTATGCTCACTGTCAGTGTCCCCTTCAAAACAGGTGTCACAATCTGAAGCTATGTGGTCAGGAGACTGGGCCTGGGCTGAGAAAATCTGACGATCAAAACAGATCTCCTTCAGGTTTTAGGCTTAGTGTACAGGTAACTTCCAGGGGAGCAAGAAGGGAGTATTTTATGTTTCTATTACGAAGTAACAAATTACCACAAATTTAGCAGCTTAAAATATATACATCCATAATGTTACAGTTTTTTTTTTTTTTTTTTTTTGATATGGAGTCTCACTGTCTCCCAGGCTGGAGTTGAGTGGCGCAATCTCAGCTCACTGCCAGCTCCGCCTCCCGGGTTCTCGCCATTCTCCTGCCTCAGCCTCCCCAGTAGCTGGGACTACAGGTGCCCGCCACCACGCCCAGCTAATTTTTTGTGTTTTTAGTGGCGACGGGGTTTGACCATGTTAGCCAGGATGGTCTTGATCTCCTGACCTTGTGATCCTCCTGCCTCGGCCTCCCAAAGTGCTGGGATTACAGGCATGAGCCACCGTGCCTGGCCAATGTTACAGTTTTGTGGAACACTTGGCAAGCTGGGAAATAAATTTTTGTTGTTTAAGCCAATAAATTTTTGTTGTTTGTTTCTTTTGTCGAAAGAAACAAAACAAAACCCTGCCAATTTAAAATTCTAATCCAGCAGAAATATTTATTACCATTAAAGGCTTGCATTCAGGAAAACAAAAGTTTAGGCCATTAACTTTTTTTTTTTTTTTTTTTTTTTTTTTTTTGCCAGTTGGTTTTTCTGCAAGAAATACTTTATCTTCAGGATGAAGGAAAATAATTCTAGATTAAAAAATGAAACTAAGGGAAGGAATGAAATACATTAGGAAGGGTAAATATATAAGCCCATAATAAACAATATTGGTTGTAAAAAAAAGGTTTTGTGCAACTCAAAATATATGTAAAAATAAAATGCAAAGCAATTATGTATAAAATACATAGCAGGATAAGCAAAGTGAAAAGGTACATGAATTCTAGCAGGACCAGAGACATTTGTATTAGTCTATGACAAGTCAAGGGCTACCACTAAATCATTGTAATTTTGTAAATATATATGTAGAAAGTTAATTGAAGGGAAAACGCAATAATAACAATACGGAATTAATGCAAAAGATGTAAAGAAATGAATGAAAGGGGAACATAAGGCAGAAGTGCTAAGGAGGACATAATCATTATGACAGAAGACATAAATCAGTGTCTCAGTAATGACATTATGTATGTGAAAGGAAAATAGACCCCAGTCCCCCAAATCACTAAGCCAAGGGAACAGTCAAGCTGGGAACTATGTCAGGCGAGCCTGCCTCCCATTTTAGCTACAAAGAAGATACACACCTTCCTCACAATTTACCGACAGGAAATTCCTTGTGGACAAAGGACAGACAGAACTCAAAGTCATCATCTAAGCTGACCTGAGACAAATGCATATCTGATTGCTTCCTCTGCCCTATTGTTTATGTAAAAATGCAGATTCACTGAGCCAGACTAAATTGTATATTCAGTGGGAGGCTGATTAAGGACTCAAAAGAATGCAACCTTTTGTCTCTTATCTACTTCTAACCTGGAAGCCCCCACTTCAAGTTATCCTGCCTTACCAGACTGAACCAGTGCATATCCTTCACATATTGATTGATGTCTCGTGTCTCCCTAAAATGTATAAAACAAACTATACCCCCGACCACCTTGGACACATGTTATCAAGACTTCCTGAGGCTATGTCACTGGTGTGTCCTTAACCTTGGCAAAATAAACTTTCTAAAATGACTGAGACCTGTCTCAGACATTTTGGGTTAACATGTATAAGTGCTTTGAATGCTAATGTCATTGGATTCCAGTGAAGAAAACAAACCAAAATATAATTCTTGCTTGAAGCAAGCATGAATTATGAGAGAACAAATAGTTTTAAAGAAATGGAAGAAGGTACAAGATGTGAATATTAAGTAAAAGTAAGGTGAAGAAGCTGGATCAATACAAGACAAAATAAGCATTTAAGTCAAGAAGCACAAGTTGCAAAATCTGAATTCAGAGAAGGGAATGTCTATGGTTGTATCCCTCTTTCCTTTCATATAGGTCTTTTTCTCAACTTCTTCCTCCCCTCCCTAACCACAGTTTTGGAGCCTCCACATTCTTCTGTGTTTAGAGTTGTGGAGAGGGAGGAGTGACAACTCTCCAGGAGAGTTCTCACTTGACTAGGACCATCACGATGATGTATCATTCATTACGCTTTGTAGATTTACTCTGTCAGCACCTTGATGGGTTATTAAGAAAGTTTCCCATCTCTGCCAATGTCTATTAGTTCCCTTGACAACAGCACATATTTCCTGTGCAATCAAGTGATTGCTTGTGATTTCTCCCACATTCTTAGGTAATCAGTATTCTACTACAAAAGTTCCCTAATTCTTTCAGGTGTCTATCATGTATAGGGTTTAAGAAAACCCTATGCAGACTTTCTTGAAAGTATGGCCTATATCAGGTACAAAGAAAAATATCTTGTATTTTTTACTTCAACAAATAGAGTCCAAAAGATACCTTTATTTTACTATCTTACACCACTTTAGCCTGGCTCTGCCAGCTGTCTATCATGAATTAGAAACCAGTTCACCGTGTACGCAAAGATTTCTAGAAGTTTCCTTATAGCATCATCTTGATTTTAAATAAAGAAGGGGCAGTCTCCTCCCTTTGTTTAGAAGAAAAGCAGAATAGCTCACTCTGAAGAAATTCTTCTCATTCTTCTTATCCCCACCACTTGCCTTCTCAAGCCTTCAAAATGGTTGAGAGTTTTGGAAGTCATCTAATTGGTTCTTAGAACACAGAAAAGAACTGCACATTAATTTAGTATTTCACATTGGAAGGAGCTTCAGATTAAACTCCCATTTTAATATATAATTAAACATTGATAATTTTTACAAGAATGACTAAAAGTGATTATATAAATTTTTTTATTTTTTATTTTTTAATCCTTTACAATTGTGTTAGGGATTCCCAAGATCACCCTCAGACTTGATGATTCACTAGAAGGACTCACAAGACTCAGAAAAGCTATCATACTCAACGGTTACAGTTTATTACACTAAAAGGAAACAATAAAATTGGTAAAGAAAATGTGCAATGGGCAAATCCAGGAGAAGCCAGGCATGAGCTTCTAGCTGTCCTTTCTCAGGGAAGTTGCATGGGAAGTGCTTAATTCTCCCAGCAACAACATATATGAAGCGTTTCAACTAGGGAAACTCAGCTAGGCCTTGGTGTATGGGGTTTTTACTGGAAGTCAGTCACACAGACATGCAACACCCTCCTGACTGACCTCAGCTAATAGATTTCATCCATCAGAGCCAGAGCAAAAATAGTTATGCACCATAAATTATACTGTTACCACAGACTGTCTGCTCAAACTGTTACTATGTGGTCCAAAGCGTCAAGGCATACAAACATACATTTAGGCAGAATATTACAAGGGCTCATAGCTCATCTTCCAGGAACCATTGAAGGAGACAGGCTTTTTTTTTTTTTTTTTTTTCCTGGAATGGGCAGGGTTTAAGCAACCTAGAGTTGCTGATTTAACTTCCTGCATAATAAACTTTTCTTGTTCTTTTACTAAGAATTTTTGAATGTACATTAGTGTAGGAAAATAAACTTACCTGAATTTCTTCATGCTGTTGTAAAAAGCCCCATCCGTCTAAGACAGAGAGATGTATAAAATATAAAAATAAAGAATGTTTGTTTTTACTTCTCCTGGAAGCACTTTATTCTCCATGTGACCTGAAAATTCAATTTGTAGACATTCATTTGGTTAATTACTCTGTTCCAAAAGGGCTAAATGATTACCGAACTGGGCCCCTATGTGCCGTGAAGACTATTAAGCTATTTACCTAGATATTTGTTTCAAAAGAGATGAAGCCCTAGAAATTGGAAACATCTCTAGATCATAAAAGCTAAGACACAAGACTATCTAGATCCTAGAAATCTTTTTTATATGTAATAAAAGGATAAAGTAGGGAGGAGATTCTTTCAGGATGAGATGGAGGCAGAAGTCTCCCATTTGTAAGCAGAGAAAAATAATTTTTCCTTGTCCCATGACCATGGAGGGCCCAGCCACTTGCACAGGAAAGATTCCCTTGGCTCTCATCTGTCCCTTCTAAGGTAAGATCTGGGACAAGGTGGGACAGGCGGTCAACATATTTATTATTTTCTGTAAAGTAATTAAGAAGTCTACTTCCTATGCAGAATACTTCATGTGTGCATCCAGAATAAAGTTAATAGTGATAAATATTAAAAAGCCAAAAATTAGGTGACATTTCCATGAATTCTGATATGTAAGTGGAAATAAACCACAAGCAGCCATGAAAGTCACATTTGTAACTATACAGGAAGGAGCTTATGAAAGGCAAAGGAAATTATTATGTCATTGAAAGCCAGAGAATACTAAAAATTGACAAGACAATATTTCCTGGAAAATTCTGCAGACAAGTGTTGCAAAGTAGCTTTGGATGGGGGTACACCTCACAAGCTCTATTACTAACTGAAAGCAAGGGGTAAGTGGTTAGGTCAGAAGAAAGAATAAACACTGTGTATAATGCTACAAGAAAACTGGAAGATGGAAAATAGGTACATTTCCAAAACGAAATAAATAAGAATATAAAAATTATCAAATGTGATGTGATAGATATCAAATAATAATGCAGCACACCAACATGTCACATGTATACATATGTAACAAACCTGCACATTGTGCACATGTACCCTAAAACTTAAAGTATAATAAAAAAATAAAAAAATAAAAAATCTAATATACATAACATGGGTAGGGAAAATGGAGTAGACAGGGGAAAAATAATATGAAAAGATTAAAATGATGCAAGTTCTTGAGTTTGTCTATGATGTTTTCTATGGGAAGATTAGGAGGGTTGATGGAAAGGGCAAGCAAAAAAAGTGTCCTCTTACTCTAAGAAGAAAAACAATCTTCTAAGGTAGGTTTCTCATGTCACAGTAGGGCCTGTGGACTTCTTATCTCAGAATCATCTTAAAAGCTTATTAAAAGTGCAGAGTGGCAGGTCCTGCCCAAGGCCTATTGATTTGGAAGATTTGGGATTGTGGCCTAAGAACCTGCATTTAACAACATGCTTTGGTGGTTTTTTTTTTTTACAGACACTAAATTTAGGAAGTAGCTATCACTTTAAGTGAAAAGTGTCAGAGGAACCATTTCACAGGGGAAGACTGTGCTGCCTTTCAAAAGATTATGTGGTAGGAATCCAGCTATTAATTCAATTGAGGATAACCCTAGGGACTTATTTGAAGTTATTTAAATCCTGCAAAGTAAGGAGTTTGATGTGAGCTGCAGATGAGCACATGGATTTAATTTATTTTGGACACTATCAGGAGAAAATGGAGTAGCACTAATGGGAAAACCTGTAGTATTTCCTTCAAACAAGCTGAAGTGACAACATGCTCTTTTTCAATAGGAATAAGATAATGGCTAAAAGAATGGTGATCTGCTTAAAAACCAATGGTAATAAACTGATAATATCCATAAAATGGTATATCACATGGGGCTTTGATTAATAAATACAAATGATGAGTTGTATTAAGGCAGGAAGGGCAGGAACACCAGGAGGGAAGCAGAGACATTCAATCAATACCCCAGAGTCTATCAGTCTAGATTACGCCTCTGCATATTTTCTTTTCTTGCAACAGCCTCAGGTAATTGACTCCCTATCACTTTATTTCTGTTGCGTTTCCCTGCTACAATCCTAACTTCAGTCCCATAGCTTGCTATGAAAAGATTCACTGGACTCTAACCCCATCCTGCTCTTCTTAATCTCAACAAACTCAGAGTCTCTGAATTTTGAACACTAGTAACTGTGCAGTGTCCTACCAAATTCCAACAAAAATGACAAATGAATGGAAACTTAGAAAATTATGAAACTACAAAACTACTGACAATTGTTATCTTTAAATAAAACCAAAATAAAAATGGAATTAAGAGATAAGCCTTTTATAAAATATGTGATTTCTAAATAAAGAAAACTTACAATTCAATAATAAAACTACCCAATTTAAAAATGTGAAAAGTATTTGAATAATCATTATTTCAAGGAATATACACAAGTGGCCAATAAGCCCAAGAAATGACAGGACACATACATCATCAGTCATCAGGGAACTGCAAATCAAAACCACAATGAGATAATGTTTCACACCTACTAGAATGGCTAGAATCAAAAATTCAGATAACAAAGCAATGTTTGTGAAGATGTACAGAAACTAAAACTCTCATATCCTGATGATGAAAAAGTAAAATGGCACAGCTGTTTTGGAAAACTGGCATCAGATAATTAAACACGGAGTTACCATATGACACAATAATTCTACTCTTAGGTTTGCACTCAAGGGAGAGAAAACATGTTCACATCAAAACATATACCCAAATGTTTATGGCAGGACTATTCATAACAGTTAAAAAATGGAAAAAAAATTCATTGCCCATAAAGCAATGAATAGATTTTTAAAAGTGATATGTCTATATAGTAAAATATTATTCAATCTTAAGAAGGAACAAAATACTAATACATGCCAAAACATGGATGAACCTTGAAAACATTTAGCTAAATAAATAAAGCAGGGAAATCTGTAAGGATAAAACCTAGATTAGTGTTTGCATAAGGACAGAGGCAGGAAATAGGGAGTGATAATTAAAGGTTATGAGGTTTATTTTGGAAGTGATGAAAATGTTCTAAAATTGACCATAGTGATGGTTGCATATATCTACTGTTAAAATAAAACTTCAGACAAATTAAATTTAACTGAGTTTAATTAAGCAAGAAAAAAAATTCACTAATTGGGAAGCCCCCAGAATCACAGCAGACTCAGAGACACCAGGGATGCCTTGTAGTCAGAACAAATTTATAGACAAAAAAGAAAAGTGATGTACAGAACTTGGAAGTGAGGTACAGAAACAGCTGGATTGGTTACAGCTCAGCATTTGCCTTATTTGAACACAGTTTGAACACTCAGCAGTGTGTGAGTGGTTGATGTATGGCTGCTGGAATTGGCCAAGACTCAGCTATTGTTACAGGTGCATACTCCTAAGTTAGGTTTTCAGTCTCGTCTATGTATTAAGTTAGGTTACGGCTTGTCCACAAGGACTCAAATATAGAAGTATGGAGTCCTTCTCAGGCCATATTTAGTTTGCTTTAACACTATGAATGTACTAAAAACCATTAAGTTGTACACTTTGAGTGAATTATATGGTATGTGAACTATATTTCAACTAAGGTATTAAAATGGAATTAGAATTTCTTTCTATCTGTAGCCTAATTTATTTCTTAGTAAAACCACAAGCATTGATCCAGTATGTAAAAATACATGCTGATAATTATTTATTTAGCTGCTATCAGTTATTAATGTTTCCATATGTATTCCTGTTCCATACTACCACTCCATTTTCAGAAGGTAGCCAGACTTTGTCCCTTCTCATCTAAAGGGAATTTACTAGCCCAGCAGAAAGTATCTTGATAATATCCCTCCAAAATCCTTATTCTTAGTCCTGAGGTCCTGGAGTGGGTTATTAAGTAGAAGCAGTGAGGGGAAGAGGCAGCAACATGGAAGAAAAAAACCATATCTTCTCACTGGGGAGGAGAAAGCAGCCTATGGGTCATGTAGGTATTGAGATCACATGATCCTGTCTTGTAGTATCCTGAATGGTGACTTGGCCAAGAGGATGAATGGATTTATGGTAATGCTAGGAAGGCTGTACTTTAAGCATCATATTTCTTGGTCTTATTCCCCAAGCATAGCCTGGAAGAATCAGCACTTCAAAGAATCATGTGTGTCAGAACCTCAGCACCTCAGTGGTAATCAATGTGGGCCAAAGTTAAATGCTTCCATTTCGGGTGGTGTTTTGTTTTGCAAATATTTAGTAAACACTTAGTAAACATCTGCCACATTGGCAGTAGGTGAAGAGGGAGTTCCAGCAAGATTTAAAGCACATTTCCTGAAAATCTAGCATGAGAGATCAGAATAAGGTTAGTTTGTTATAAATAATATTTTATTGATTGATTGATTGAGACGGTGTCTTACTCTATTGCCCAGGCTGGAGTGCAGTAATGTGATCTTGGCTTACTACAAACTCTGCCTCCCAGGTTCTCCTGCCTCAGCCTCCTGAGGGTCTAGGATTACAGACACACACCACCACGCCCAGCTAAGTTTTGTATTTTTAGTAGGGATGGTGTTTTGCCATCTTGGCCAGGCTGGTCTTAAACTCCTGACCTCAAGTGATCTGTCTGCCTCAGCATCCCAAAGTGCTGGGATTGCAGGTGTGAGTTATCATGGCTGGCTAAGAAAATTTTAAAATGTAACTTTTTTTTTAACCTACCAACATCATACGTATTCCAAGAACAGCATTCCTGACATTACATTAAAAAATGATCAACATAATAAAACATAGCAGTTTTTCCTCAAAAATTCACATTATATTCATGTAATAGACAACAATATTTGTGATACAATATATTTTCTATGTTGTATCACAGCATACTTTCATGAACCTGCATTAACTGTAACAGTTAGCCAGGGTTCCATTGCTAAAAGGGACTCACAGGAATCCAAAGCAATGCTGACAAATGGATGCCTCATTGAAGAAAAAAGAATAAAATATAGTGAAAGCATTAAAGTAAGCATATGTACCAGAGCTGTGGCTGCCTCACAGCAAGGGGTACTGAGAGGCCAGTGCCAACTCAAAATGTCCTCTCTACAGGGATAGATATATTGGATGTATGTGCTCTCTCTCTCTCTCTCTCTCTCTCTCTCTCTTTATTTATCTATCTCATTCTTTCAAGGTACATGGGGAACCCTGAAACCAAGGAACCCAAGATGAAATCTTGAACAGGGTTTTTTATACCCTGCTGGTAATGTAAATATATTCTTGCGATGTCAGGATCTTCAGTGTAGTGTCCTCCAGAGGTCTCACTGAGACCAAGAACAAATCATCAGTCTCACTGTTACCAATAAGGAAAGATGATGAATTGGGGCAAAATGACTTCAAACTGCTAGATCTACAGTTACAAAGCAGCGCTTTTAATGTGATATTGTACATTTTATGTTCAACTAGGGCCAGTGCTCTGCAGCCACTTCAGAAAACCAATTTAGGCCAATTCCAAGCCTGCTAGAATTAACACTCACAGCACAGAAATATATTAAGAAAGTGTTTCCAAAGCCTTCTGGAGAGATGCAGTTTTTGAGATTTGTATGGCCTTTGCTTTGAGAGAGAAACTCTGCAAACTCATCCAACTAAGCCCTAATAGGCATAGAGAGACTAGATTAGATATTAGACTTATATGATTCAGTCTAATAGCTTAAGGTCAATTTTAGTTGACTTCTTAGAGAATCACTTTCCCAATCTTACCATCAAGTAAAATTATCAGCCCCTGTTGAATTTGTTTCTGAAACATTCTCAAATATGCTTAGATTTTACATTATCAACCAACACTAACACTAAGACCACCATCTGAACCACCCACATCCCCAGTGTTGGAATATTCTGCACTTTCTCTCAGAAAATGTTCTATGTTTCCAAAGTCTAGAAGGTGCTTTGAAGTTTGGTCTGAAACATTTCCTTTTTATTCTTTTCAAACATTTTTCATGAACAGTCCTAAAAGTTTCTACATCTGCCCTTCTAAAAGATTCTTTTCTCCCAAGGCAATAAAAGTTTCTTTTTACTCTTGAATGCCTTATTGCAGCATATTTTCTAGTTGGTTTTAATATCTGGTTATATATGTGGCAGATATGGTGGTTTTCATTTTAATAGTACATAAAATTCAGGAGTACAAAATTAATTTAAATCATGCATCTCCGATTCCTGTACTTAATGGGAAACTTAATGTCTTGAATTTCTGATAAATTTTATATAATCTAGTAATTTTGGAATTACTTCTAGAGTTTGTTTAAGTGACTTCAATGTATTTAGAATGAAAAGAGATACATAGAAATAGGTGCATTGCTTCTTAATACCCTCCAATCAGTGAGGCATATTTATATTTCAGAGCAAGAGGTAAAGGTAGGTGAGTCACATTGTTAAACTTATTGGTACCTTTATGGTCTCAGATAGGAAGCTGTTATTCTAAATTTACTAATATATGTCTGGGTCTTTGCCTTCAGTGATAGGTATAAAGTCATTAATGGATTATTTTCTATTTAACTGCCACATTAGGTGAAGCAAAAGTGATCTGGGACAATATGCGGGGGAGTTATATTCCACTATTTTTTACATTTTATCTTCAACATCTATCACAAAGACAGTAATAACCACAATAAGCATACCATTTATTTAGCACATATTAAGTGTCAGGTTGTGTGACATCTTTATACTGATTCTATCTAATCCTCATAACAGGGATGTAAATATCATTATTTCTATTTTATAACAGAGGAAAAAAGAATAAGAAGATGGCTTAAGGGCCATGTAAAGATAATATCTAAATTCGAATTTTAATCCACATCCCAGAGATTTAAGAGGCTATATTTACTTATTATTAGGTGCTGCTTGTCTTCATCTCTTCTTCAAAGTAGTTTCCACAGCTAGAATTTTGCTTTTATTTGTACAATTTTTTGATTAATGTAAACGATGTAGTTTGTTGGATGTGTCTCCTCATTCCTGTCTTCTACACATCCCCCATTCCACAAACATAAGACAGCGTTATATGTGGCATGATAATAACTGAAAATTTATGATTTATTCCATTACTCTACGTGTCTGCAAGAAATAGGTATTCTTCGATCTCATTTTAAAGAAGGTAATTAAGCCTTTGTATTTCCTCTGGGCTTTGCTAAAGGCAAGTAGTGTACAGGACCTCCGAAAAGAAAATTCTTAGTCCAATCTTTTATTGCTTTAATTAAAACAACAAAACAAAACTAAACACCTAGGCTGGAGGTGTGAATGTAGGAATAGAAGTGTTTTGAGAGTTCCCACAGTGACTGAGAAGGGATTGAGATTTTGAAGGCCTTTCATCCTATTGGGAGATCATGCTCCCCAGTAACTCCTGTCAGGTAGAGGACAGACCCTTGGAAGGGGGTGACTATGAGGTGCTGCCCCCTTGGTAGCTGCACTTGGGTGTTTCCGTTCTCATTCCTGAGCAAACAATTGATTGTAAGCCAGGCACAAAGGCGGCAGAGTGGCCATCTTCAAGGGCCCCTAGGTCAGTGAGCATACCACCAGGAAGCTGTATAAGAGAGAAATAAGTCTTCATACTGCAGTATTAAATGGATTTTAGAGAGCAAATAATTTCTCTTACCTTATCCTAAAGTACATAACTGAAAAGAAATTATTTATCTCTTTACCCAGAAAGTGGATACATGGAGAAGGGTTAGCATGGATCAGAAAATAAAAAGGAATGTATTTATCATTTTGCACCCTGGTATATTTATTGCACAAGATTCTCTCTAACCCACACACACAATCTTCTGAGGTAATGTTGCAGAAAATAGAGAGGTAAGAGGAGAGTGAAGTCGGGCTTTTGCATAGTCAGCTTCCCTGTGGCCTCTGTGGAAAGGGAAGTGCTCATGTCCAGGTAATGACCAGTAGCCAGTATGGAGTGGGTGTCTGCAGAGCACAATCACAGACAAGGTGCACCTCTGAGCAGGTCCTCCAGGGATGGTTGAAAATAGACCTAATTTCCACATTTATTCTAGAAGACAGAATATTAACTCATCAAAGTGTGTGTGGATAGGAGAGGCTGGTGGATGGGATAGGGATTTACTTGACAGATACATCTTAGCCTCTGTTACTTTGAATATTTGATTAACCACACCTTTTTTTTTTCTTTTTTTTTTTTATGTTTCTGGGTAACTGTTTATATAGTCATGGCCAGGCTGTCTTTATAATACAGAATCTCTCTGACTTCCACTGTACAGCTGAAACAGGCATAAGCTTAGGTGTCAGAGGTGGTTATATAGATGCATGAAAACAAAAGTATCCAATAATTTTTCTATATTTTTTGACTCTGGAAAGGGTATGTGTGAATATTAAAGCATTAATGATAGACATCTGAATATATTGTGTAGCTCATTTTGTTGTTCCATTACCCCACTACTTAATGCATTAAAATCATGTGATACTTAATTCATTTAATAATAAAAAAGGAACAGATTAAAATTTTTGAAATGAATATGTGTAATTTAATTTTGGCATTCAGAAATCACTTTGATATTTTTAAAGCTCTGCCAACTTTTTAATTTTATATTTCCAAATCCATATATTAAAGTAATTTTAAAGCTGGGAAGAACTATATACATCATTTTGTCCAATCTATCCATTTTATATTTGGGGAAATAGAAATATAAAATAACAAATAGTGATAACATCTTCAGCCAAATTTTAAACTATTTTCATTGTGATCTATTATCTTTTCTTCATCTCTTTTAATTAAAAGCATATGAAACATTGTTGTAAAGAATGCTATAGTCAGAAGTGTATTAAATCATGTAAGTGTTAATTAGAACTAGAAGGAGGACAATAGTTCAACATCTAATTTTTTTGTATGATCAGTAATTTTCTTGCTGAACTCAACAGAGTTGCCTCCTGTGATGGAAAGGAAGTGAAAGAACAGAATGGGCCTGTGCAGAAAGCTTCTGGCCTCCACATCCATTCTGTAAAAATAAACATGGGAAGCTGTGTTTTCACGTTCTTTGTGTATAGGTTTCCACTGACCATTTGGGTTCAAGATACAGTGCCAGTGCACAAACCAATTTACAGAATTCTAATGACTGGTCATTTATATGCACTGCCAACACCGAAGTAAACTTCAATATTGCCTGTCACTTACTTAAAAGCTCATTCACCTTAGATTTGTAGTCCTCGACATTCTTACTTCATTCTGCATTTCATAATATATTATCTGTCTTAGTCTTCTTGTGATCTTTACACTTAGAAAGAGTTCACATTTTTTAATACACCAAAATGTCTTCATATGTAGGCCTAAAATTCCCTGATCTTCTTTTATAATTTTCCTTTTCATACAGTCCTGAGAACTAATTTATAATGTATTTTTGATACCTTTGCTTTGTTTGACATAATCAAGACTGTCTGATACATCTAGGTTAAACTGCTTGCCATTTCCCAAGCAAGCCATTCATTTCTCTGCGTCCTTGCTTTGTTGCACTTCTCTTTTACCCCATAATTATTTTCCACTTGTCTAGTTAATACACTAAAAAAGTCACTGCGAGTCACCTCCTGTACCATTATTTTCAGTACTTTCAGCAAAGATATTTCTCTCCTGTGCACTTACAGACATTGTACTCAACCTCACTATTGTGAGGGATAATTGTCCCATAGCACAAGGTCTTGTCCAAAGGCACTTACGAGACCTCTTCAACTGTAAATCTTTCAATATTTTGTTTCTATGGCAAACTCAAAGATTGAATGTAGCTCTGTTTCTTCTACCCCATAATTCTTTATTTTTATTGCTCCTAATTTTCTGTGTTGGTAATTTTGAACTTATCTGAAATTTAAGTTAAACACATGAAGTGCTAACTTTGTCATACCCCTGGTGGTAATGTTCTGCATGTTCTCATAGACATGTGTTAATGTCCTCATCCCCACGTTCTGTGTATCCTATTTTTATCATTTTAGACATTTCATCATATTTCTCTTTTCTTTTTTTATTTTTCCTATTAAATCTGGGGTTCAATCATGTTCTCTGTATTCTCC
This sequence comes from Homo sapiens, assembly GCF_000001405.40. Classification (NCBI taxonomy): domain Eukaryota; kingdom Metazoa; phylum Chordata; class Mammalia; order Primates; family Hominidae; genus Homo; species Homo sapiens. The sequence continues at coordinate 118,652,948 of NC_000007.14, forward strand.
ATGTCTAAAAGTTATTTCTCTTCAGTGTAATAATATTATTAGTCTTTCAACTCTGAGTATTTGCCTTCTAAATGTAGAATATTCAAATTTAAAACAATTTCACTTACATTAGCATGGCTCAAGTTTTTCATGGTGAGTATGTATATTTAGTTCTGACTAAATCCATCCTATAGTTTTCTAGGGTTACCAACAAGAGCTGCAAAAATAGGATTGCACATGCTGTTGTTGGAAAATATTCACAACTATTATTTACTAAATTAGCCTCTTCACAAGCTTTATGTATTTTTCTGTTCACATCCTTTATACAAATTAATGACTGGAATTTATATGATCCTCAATATTTTATAATAAAATTTCAAAAGCTTTATCTTACTGAAAATATACAATACCTTTTTCAAGTAAGTAGGATGAATCGTATCATCTCCATTTTCAAGTTGACAAAATAAAATTCATAGAAGTCAAATAACCTCAGTTACTATTATTATTGCTTTACTCTGAAAAATTTCCTTGGATTTCATTACCTCTTTGCATGTGTTTGTCTTGTAAAATGAATGTCTCATATTTAATCACCAATAATTTATTTGATATGCTGCCCAGTGTTAATAACAAAATGTATTTTGTTGAAATTTTCCCCAATATTAATTATATATTATTAGCACATTTAAAATGTGTATCCCTGTAATCCTTCTGCCATTTCTACTGTGGTGCTTATTATGTGCCTATGTTAGGGTGGTCCCAATCAGCACGGCATCTGTGCCATGCTCTTTCACCGTTTTGGGCTTCCTTAATCCTGTGAGGGAGAATTAATCACTACATTCTGTATTAGTTTCCGCCATAACAAAATGCTATAGGCTGGGTGGCTTAAACAATATAAATTTATTTTCTCATAGTTCCAGAGGCCAGGAAGTCCAAGATCAGGGTGTTTCATTGTGAGGCCTCTTTTTTTGGTTTAGAGTCAGCTGCCAGTTTGCTGTGTGCTCACATGATCTCTTCTTTGTGTGGGTGGAGAGAGAGAGAAAGAGAGAGAGAGAGACTATCTTCCTCTTATTATAAGCCCCCAATTCTACCAGATTAAGGCCTTAACTTTATGACCTCGTTTAACCCTAATTAATTCCTTATAGGCCCTATCTCCAATTACAGACATGTCAGGTCACTGCTTCTACACAGGAATTTTTTGATGGGGGGACACAAACATTCTATCCATAACACATCTCCATACGAATTCTTCACACCTCCTACCTGGCATGGGCTATCTCTGACATCTAATTGTATCTAATAGCTTTGATCAAATTGTATCAAATACTTTTCTCTTTTCCCTACTATGGAAGAATAGAATTTCTTTCTATTTACCTATCTTTTTGTTCTCTTGACACACAGATATACCTTCACAAAACGATGTTTGCTATTTTTTCCCATTTTTATAGCCAGATCTGCATAATTCTCCTTTATTCGGTGTTTAATGCTGTTAGTGTCCTCAAGCACCCAATGTACTCCTTTAAAATGTTAGGAATTATTCATTATAAAGAGCACATCAGCAGGCCAACAGACGAAGGGGCCTTTTCTTTAGCAGCTCCAGAATGCTGTAATATTTACTCTAGGATCGCTAATTCTTATTTTGTTTATTCCCACACCCCTCAAGTCCCCCACCACACATACATACAGGCCAACCCTTATTCTTTTTCCTTTCCTTGTATGCCTTTTTTGTTTTTTGGCAGATATTGGTTTTAAATTATTCAATTGTACTTAATATATTTTGATACCATTTGAACAGAGATGTTTACCTTTTAGTACCACTGGTCACAGATATAATTTTGGATGATATTTCTATTTTCTTAATCTTTATTCAACTTTCTAACCACTTTATTTATATAAACGACTCTCATTTTAAATATCATCTCTCTTACATCATATTTGCTTCTTCAGTCTACAGTCTGTTTTCTTAATCTGAGGTTGACACCAAACATAAATAACCTTCAGATATGTTGCCATCTTCATGATTCTGAAATAGGTTTATCATTATAATCATCATTTTAAGATGCAGAAACTTCATGAGAAATTATGTAAAATATTTAGATTTACATAGTTATTAAATGGCAGAGCCATAAATGCAGCTCACTACTCTCTACAGATGAAGAAAATAAAGGATGGAAAAGAGAAATATCTTATTTAACAGACTAATCCTTTTTTGAAACTATATACCAGAATAGATATATTCCAGATACCATATTCTGGGCCATATAGCAATTCTAAGAACAACAACAAATCATAGGACACAAATTGTGCTCTTTAATCATAGTGAAATTAAATTAAAAGTATATAACAAAAGAGAAAAATACCTATTAGATAGCTATAGAAATAACAAGTTTTGTGTATATGGATGTATTTGAGAACATATAGATATATTTCTTAGCTCTGTCCAACGGTCCCAGAAGCAAAGACAATCCAATACAATGAACACACCTACTGCTCAGATCTTGGCATTTAAATGTCAGTCTCCGATAAGAAGAATCATGGCCTTTTGGAGAAATGCTTTCTTCAGGTCTGACATAGTGAAAACATAAGAATCTTATCCAGATAGAGACGAAGTAGTAAAACAATATAATTAATTTGAACTTGTCAAAAGGACACAGGAATTAATTATAAAGAAGTTACGAATGGCCAAGCTTTCAAAATTTGAGCAACAAATTGAGTAATGATAGAAAGGGCATATATCCCTTAGAATAAAGTAAGTATTTATGAATATATTTTGATACAAATAAGTGCAGACAGACAAACATAAAATAGGGAGAAGAAACATCTCTTAGATAGAATTACGGTTTTAAAATGTAGAATAAATAATGGAAATATAAAACATAATGGTAACAACTGTTGTGGATGCTAATCAATGACGGAAGCTAAAATCAGTGGATGAAAATATAATGGGAAATAAGATATTTACATAGTCACAAAGAATCATCCCAAGAGATTATTACAAAGGGTAAAATGATAACTATGTATAGGAAAAAATCTAACTGGCATTGCTTTAACCAAGTGATCAAAGTTAGTACCACCAGTAATGAGATAAATTGACATAATTTATCTGTTGATAAGATGAACTGAGAATATTAAAGTATCACTTCTGTTTTATACTTGCCAAAATGCATAGCCACAGTTTAAACATGATAAAAAATTTTTAAAAATTCAAAGTCAGGGCTTTTCTAAAACAATAACTGGAGTGTACCCTTTGGAAGTGTCTAGGTCATGAAAGAAAAAGAGCCACAGGTGTGAGGAAATTAATTACGCATGACAACTAAATGCAACGTGGAACCTTGTATTGAATCTTGGAAAAGAAACAGGATATTAATGGGAAAATGATGAAGTTCAAATACTATCTGTAAGTTCATTAACAATATTTTATCAATGTTAGTGTCTTAGTTTTAACAATTGTACTATAAGTATGTAAGATGATAGCATTATGGGAATCTGGTTGAAAGGTATAGCAGGAATGTTTTTATTATTTTGCAACTTTCTAATTTTAAAATTATTTCAGAGTAAAAAATGACAAATTATAAATAAATTGTTCTAAATTAATACAGAGCTATACCATACACATAAGTTAGGAGACTGAATTTTTATGATGTCTGTTCTCATCATGCTGATATGTTGTTTCAATAAAATAAAAAACATAGCCCAAAGTTTTTTTTAAAAAAAGATGAGCTGATGCTGAAATTTTTATGAAAATGTAAAGACTGTAGAATAGACAAATATAGCTTGAAATTTTTTAAATTATGTTATTTTATTTCAAGATTTTATTAGTGATTATTTGATTATATGCAATAGCTAAAACTCATCTAACAATTAAGATCTTTTTGTTTTATTGCATTTAAAATATAGCTCAATAAACTCTTAAAAGAAGATACATGAACATCAAAAACATGCAGAGATCAAAAGAAAAGTGAATAATTGGAATTTAGCAATGAGTAATTTCACAAACTATTGCAATATATCTTGAAGGAAATATGCAATATATCTTGAAGGGGAAAAATATCATGAAGCAAGAGAAAGAAGAGCTAACCACAAATATGAAGGACATTAAAGAAATAAGAAAATTTCTTATAGTTTCATTCTAATCATCTTTAAATGAACAAACAATGTAATATCAATTACAAACAGTAAATTAACAAAATTTACTTCAAAAAATAGATAACTAAAGCAGAGCATCAGCCAAATTAAAAATGTAGGAGAAGAAAAAAATTCAAAAGTTGTTTGGTATCGTTGTGGATTTTAATAAAGAAATAGTAGAACTTTATTCACAGTGTGGGCAGCTGATCACACACTCCAAGAAGTGAGAAAAAGAAATATGTAGCCAAAGACAGGAAAATAACTTCTTTTTCTAAAAATTCTTTGAGACCTCTATGTCAACACAATGGTGAGAGACTCAAATTTGAGGATTCTATTGTTTTTTTTTTTTTAGACGGAGTCTCACTCTTTCGCCCAGGCCAGAGGATTCTAAATCAAATATTTGGAGAACTAAATCTCCATTTATGACAACTACTTTTAAAGCAAGAAGTAAAAAGAAGAGTAAATCATGGCAACCTCTTCTTAGTCTGTTTTCATTGAAAGTGAAAGCAGAAGCAGGACAGTAAGAAGAGTCTATTTTTGACAAATTACTGCTGCTTGGTCTCTGAAAAAGGAGCACAAGTACTGTAAAGGCGTTCAGAACTGTTCTCTTAGAGTTAGGAGAAGACTTGGAAGCTGTATCAGAGAGAGTTGAGTCTCATGTTTATGCTCAGTTAGATAGAAGAGAAAACTCCTTTAATTTGCTTGACATTTTGCTGTTGGAAAATGCATAGCACTTGGGTTAAGACCCCTGTGCCTGAGTATCTAACACTCAGCGGGGACATATTAGAAAATTGGTAAACACATACCTTGTGCCTTGTGCTAGCTATCTCTTGGGACCTCAATTATAAAGTGAAGTGCACATTTATATAAAAGTTTTGTTTGTTTTTGTTTTTGGAACCAAAAGCTGTTAAAGGACTTGTAATGGTTTACATACACGTACACATCTATGCATTTGTCATTTAATAATCTTTGAAGTCATTGCTAACAAAAGGCTAAAGACATACTAGCAATTAGTGAGTAAGCTGCAGTAGGTGGTCTTTTCCAGCAACTAAATTTCCTTTGGCACTGTCCCTACTCATCCCCCACACTGCTGATGAGTTCAATAGACCCAGGTTCTGCTCACTCAACATATATTCTCAGCAGGGCTGCAACCTTTCAGACCTGTGTTGTCTTCTTAACAACCCTCCTGATGATGCTTCAAAATTGTCCTTTTCTTCCTTAATTGTCTTATTTTCATCAAGATGTATAGATAAATAGCATTCATATGAGTTGGTAAATCATATATTTTTCTATTAATTCTCCTTAGGATGAATATGGTAAATATTGCCTACTTTATTCTTCTAAGTACATTTAAAATGCTGTTCTTCATAATTCAAATGTATCAAGTGTAAGAGAGAGGCTGGTTGTCTCCGTTATTCAAAACAGTGTTCAGGGTATTTGCATATCAATTAGACTACTATGTATATCTAAGGTACAGTTTTTAGCTTTGCAATTTTATAAACGTTTTCCCTCTTCCACTTCAAAGTATTTTGATCTTGAGAAATAGACAAATCTTTTTACTAGAATGTGACTTTACACATTTATTATGAAACTGGGTCGGGTAAGAGAATAGATTTACAATTGTCATTTACACTGGGCCTTCAATTTTCATGATTAAATCTACTCAAACACCATAATACAGATCAGAAAACTTTCTGGTGAGCATACATTTAAGAAAGCAGACTTTCTAATTCTATTGTTTTTTCTAATAATAGAGCTGTGTAAGTATTTGGATAGACAGAGTCCACTACCAAAAATAACTAAAATGTTGGATTAAACAATTACTAAATACTACATGACAAATGCTATGGTTTAAATGTATCTCTCAAAGTTTATGCATTGGAAATTTAATCCACAGTGTGACAGCACTGAGAAGTTGGACCTTTAAGGTTGATTAGGTGACGAGGGTTCTGCTCTCACGAATGGATTAATACCATTACTGCTGAAGTGGTTTAGTTATCTGGAGGGCAGATTCCTCCTGAAGGATGAGTTCAATCCCTTCCCTCTTTCTTTCTCTCTCACCACGTGATGGCTTCTATCATCCTATGATGTAGCAAGAAAGCCTTTACCAGATTCAGCCCCACGATCTTGGATTTCTTTGCCTCCAGAACCAAGAGCCAAATAAATTTCTACAGATTATAAATTACCCAGCCTGTGACATTCTGTTATAGCAGCGCAGAATGAACTAAGACTACAAGATAACATGAAAGTAATTAATATCCCACTAAAATAATGACATTGTTGACACACTAGTTAGTGAGTACACAAGGAAATTTGAGGGCTGAGATCATGCAGCTTATAAGTGAAAAAAGATAAAGCTTGTTACAAATTTGAGAACAATCCTAAAAATGTACACTACTTTACTAATAACAGGTTGAGAGGCTTAAAGGGAAAATATTTAAAATGATAAATAATATCAAAAAAGTTTAAGAATTTTTGCTTAGGAAACACTAAATCACCTTTCTTTTCTCTCTAAAGAAAATGATATTAAAATTATGATATGAAGGGACTATTAAGACTATACAGCTAAAGTGTAAAAAAATTACAAATTATAAAAGCATGTTAGAAAAGTAATTAATAAAAGTATCTTATTTTCCAAATTGTGTGATTAGCTTTAAAAATCTCATTAGTAATTTTCTCATTCTTAATAAGTATTCACTTTTTGAATTAATTTTCTTTTTGTAATTTTGTGTTATTTCCCTTAAAAAGAGCCCCAAATTACACAAGATTTAGGCCCCACAAAGCCTACAATTCCCCCTGGTAAAGCATTAAGAGGAAGTTAGAGATGCAAAGCTACTCACTGTAATGCTTACAGGACTTATAATATTACATCATAAAAATATGTGCCTGAAACTGTCATTAATATATTATTCAAATGTACCACAGACACCATGTTTATACCAAATAAAGTGTTATTCATTATAAACTTTAATTACTCAAAATTATCATAGGACATGTAACATGATTTTTTAAATCTCTCTTTCTCTCCCTTGCTCTCTTTTTCTCGGTGTATCTGAAGCTCCAAATAGTACTTTATTATTCCACAAAGATGTATTAGACAACCAAAGGAAAACTTGCTAAGGAAGTTGCCAAGAACAATTCAATTCTTAGCTGACCACCTAAGTTCTGCTAGGAGTTCTTCCAGGAGTCGCCAAGATGGCAGTGACTATTCAAGAGACCTCCATAAAGAGAGTTTGTGGTGTGCCTAGAGTTCCCTCACCATAGTGAGGAGAGGTGGTGGAACCTCACGTCCATTTCAGTGAAAATGCTTCATATTTCTTCTGGAATGCAGACAGTGCAAGGTGTGTGTTCAACCCTTAACTGACAAATTTAAAACATATTATTTACCTGAGAAAGTCTGAATCAGCTGAAGGAAAGGCTGGTTCAATAAATGAAAGTTGCCCAAAGAATATGTTTCTTATAGATCAGATGTTAGAGTCCTTTGTAATAAAGCTTAAACTGAAAAGGGATAGAGGATCCTAAGCAAGCTGCCAGAGGAGATGAATTTGCCAATTTTAAGAGAGTTAGAGATGGAAAATTCTCTGTGACAGGAGGGTCTACGAAACACCCATCTTCAGTAGATTTTGAGTGTTAGTCTTGGTAGTAAGTGATACGGTCTTAGAAATGGACTTCCCAGTAGCCATGGGAATAAAGAAATATTAATGTAATAGAGGACAAATGGCAGCATTCCATTGTCACAGGCAAGGTGGATGCAATCACCACAATAGGTGACAAGTTTGTAGAATGGCAGCCAGGGTTGCCTGTTCTGCTGAGAGATAAGGAGAATATTTAAAAGAACGCACAGTGTTCCAAAGCACAACACGGATGTACAGCCAATAAAGATACTGTTTCATTTATACAAACAAATGAAATTAGGAATGAATGATCAGAAAATGGAAGACAGTGTTCTAATGAAAAGTGATAATCTCCTATCAGTTTCCAGCCTCAAACCAGTTATCATACTTGGAACTCATTGACTAAAAGAGAGACCAGATTCCAAGAAGAAAGGGCACTGCAACTGTGGGAATTGTCTGCAGTAATGATTACCTAGTTTTTTTGCAAAGGGAGTCTATGACTTTTTACTCAGGTAACTGTACACTAGGGAAGTGGGAAATCCAGGGATTTTTTATTTTTATTTTCTGGCCCTGATGGGCAGAGGGTCAATGTTTTAATTGATAGAAAGGGATCCAAAGTATCATCATGGCTCATAGCTGAGTTTCTCTACAAAATTTTCTGTGTTGAGAGGACCTGCAGGGACAGATCATATTGAATAGCTGGTCCTTCTGAAGAATGTTGAGATGCAAACATCTACCCTACTTTACTCAAGTTTGGCCAACTCTAAAGGGCCATCTTAGTTTCAGGGCTTCCTGTGGGATCAACTGAGGCCTCTGTCGTTACTGCATCACAGCTCGGCCTCTCCATCTGCCTAAACCTGCTCCCTTTACTTCCTCGAAAGTGTTTCTGGAGCATTCCCCAATAAATTTCCTACATGCAAATTTCTGTCTGGGAACCTTTTACCTGGCAGTCTTACCTATGCACCACTACCCAAGCACCATCCAATGAGAGGGTATGTCAGCTTCAAACACTGACCAAGCCCAGAGAGTTCCAATAGCTGCTTTTTATTCACCTCATCTGTATTCCACTTCTGTGAATCTAGAATTAGGAAACTGGGGGAGTAGATGATCCAAGTGGAAAAATAGAAAATATATAACTATTGATTCTCTTATTTTACTCCAGATACAATCAGTCTAAAGCAGACCAGAGTTGGGAGAGGGAGAAATTTTAACTTTAAATATGCATGGGTAGGTTCACTCTGAACACTTAAATTTAAATTCTTTTCTTATAATTAATTGTTGTGTTACAATTTTATTGATATATCCCTGAAATGCTTTTATATGACACTTAAAACATTTGTCCTGTTTTGGTTATTTGTCCTACAGTTTTGCAAATACATCTGAGTTTAAAAGGAAGGAAACCATCCATCAGTCTGGTTTTGAAGCTGCTCTTGCAATATTATGATATAATTTATCCATAATTATATTAATTGTTCCACATTAACTCAGTATTGAACTTCTAAAAGTAATATCAAGTGTGTGTTTTGTGGATTTTAAACAATTGTAACATGTCAAGACAGTAAAATTAATTTCTGAAGTATTAAAAATATACCCATATCTACTGGTTCAAAGTGAATTTTAAATATGTAAAATACTGCAATGGGTTTCTCAAATAAATTAATGATTTCACATTACATGTATAAGGTACTAATTCTATAAATTTTATAACTGTATCTGCACATCTACTTTTATTTTTCTAAATGTATTATACATATGGGGTCACTTTATAATAAAGTTCTCAATTAGCTATTATGCAATACTTACTCGAGGAAGAAAAGTCACTTAGTACTTTCACATGTGTTTTTGACCTGCAAAGTGGATGGATTAAGCTAAATGCCTTTAAGGTTCTTTAGCGAGTCAATGGTTGAGTCAAAAGATCCCTTCATTTAGTTGTTAACCAATTAAAGACAACTTTACTTAGATAAACTTGATTTTATCTGCATGATTTCAAATAATATAATTTGCCTTATCCTTCACTTTTCAAAAGAATATAGGAGACATTGCAGATATTCATTACTAATATTTCAGTCTTCCATGGACTGCTTTGTTATTGCATAGACCGTGTATCCCAGTTGTATTTCTTATTCTTTTCTTAGGTAGTGGACAAACTTGAAACAAGCAAAAGTGCAAAAAACGTTTTACACTAAGGATTCCCTACAGTTAGTAACAAAACCAATCATTGCACCACTTTATTGGAGGAAAAATTTCCAAGCCATGCAATGCAACACCTTCGTATAGATTTAAATTTTCTTGCCAGAGTGTTGAACACCTCAGTATTGGGAACAGGAATAAAAAGACTTTCGATAGATCAACATTACATTAAAAAACAAAGTAATATAAGCCTGCCTAGCAAGCAGAGTGACAGTTTATATTCTAAAATATGTCACCCTTATATTTGAGTCTAATGTAATTTTTCCCCTACCAGTAGGATATCATAAAACTGATGATTTTAAAAGTATGTTACATAAATCTAATTTCATATTTCTTTACTTCTTTTTCCTTTAGTTCTTATTCTTTCAAACCAGCAGGAGATCTTATCACTCCTTACTGATTTTATAACTGCATAACACATTTTATAAATTACTTCGTAAAATTGCTTGCACAGTCAGTCTTTGCTCTTGGTGTACATACAACTCCCTAGATATTATGTACATTAGTGTCAACAAGTGAAGACAACCATAGAATTAAATGACAGGCTCTAAAGTTAAAACTGTTCTAAACAAAACTGCCTTACCTAACAGAAATTCATGCTTAAGTAAATTTGAAATTATTAATTTCCAATGACTTCTTTCTTATGTTTTAATTGATTTTATATTTTCATCACTTTTATAAGAATTCCTCAGTATCATCATATTTTTCAAATGGGAAAAATATAGATAGTGTCACACAGAGAACACATTGATTTGTATGTGATTACTTTGAGGTCTTTATAAGTAGGGCCAAGCAATAGCACGCTACTACACAGTCAACCACAAATCTTCTCTAGTCAGTTTCTCAGCAATGAAATTGTGACAAGAATCATTATCTAGCCATACAGTGAAGGATTTGTTTATATTATATTTAATTATTTACTATAAAGAATATTCTCACTTTCAATATAAATCAAAAGGATAGTTGAGAGGTTTACTTTGTAGAAATCCATATAAAATAGAATACAATTAAATAAGGAATCACATAAATTAATGCTAAAAAAGTAAGTTCAAGTGAGAGGTATGATGAACATTAAGTTGCAAAAATCTTAGTGCTTGATTATATTTAGCTATACCCCTTCTTAAACACAATAGCAAAGCGAATTTAACACATATTTCACCAAATTTTATTACTGATTTTGAGTCTGTTATGCTATTTTCACTAGAGTAACTTGTTGTATTCATTTGCTAGTGCTGCCATAACAAATACCACAGATTGGGTGGCGTAAAAATACAAAAATTAATTTTCCCACAGTTCTAGAGACTAGAAGTCCAAAATCAAAGTGCCATCAGGATTGGCTTCCCCTGAGGCCTCTGTCCTTGACTTGCAGACTGCCTTCTTGCAGTGTCCTCACTTGGCATTTTTTTCTGTTTGCCTGTGCATCCGTGGTATGTCTTCCTCTTCTTACAAGGATGCCTATCATATTAGATTAGGGAACCCCCCTTATGACCTAATTTAACCTTAATTACCTCTTTAAATTTCCTATCTCCAAATACAGTCATGTTGCGGGTTAGGACTTCTATATATGAATTTTGGGAAACACAATTCAATCCATAAATCTTATTAAGGGCTTCTTTCAAATATCATGGAGTTTAAAGACCCTTAAAGGAGAGCCCTGTATGATGTATTGAAACACATATGTTGTCAACAGAACAACTCTAGATAATGGGGAGGTGATTGTTTGGTTATGCTTTATGTGGAGGAAAAGATCACAGTCCGTTTTACAGTAACTGGAATTTCTATCAGGCTTTCTTTTAACACCACTGTATGTTGTCAATCTTAGAAGAATAAAGCAGACATTCCCTGCTGTGAAGAGATTAAGTAGTCTCTGTGCATGGCCACTGAATAATTTATTTGTCATGCATGTTTCCACTATATTGCATAAAATGCATTACAAGATGAGTAATAAATATATATATGTAGTAATGCATATTTTTACACAGAACATTATTTAAAAGATTCACAATGACCATTTCACTAATATTTTCTTGTTATTCTTTTAATAAATGACTGAATGTTAAACAGAAATTGTGCAGTAATTATGTAACATGTTTGATAAGATTTATAAACTGCCACAAATAATGTAATAATTTTTTCACATGCTTTAATCGAGAAGCCAATGCTTCCAGGTGATAGAAATAATTGCTAGCATAATTGGGGAAATTGAATTCATTTCAGCTTTTGAAGGAATATTTTTGGGGTCTAATAAATATCTACAATAGAACACTTTTAAATAGTCACTGCTTAAATGCCTATCTAGATTAAACCCAGATCCTCATTCCACAGTAGTTGCAGATGCAGAGAATTTCCAGGTAATCTTATGCATATATTCCCATCAGTAAGTCTCTAAAATTAATTTGTGCTTATCACCAAAATCCTTTATCCCAGTTGTAGCTCTTGCTGTAAGTATATAATTTAATTAAATATTACAGAGCAGTGAATTCTGAATTTGAAAGAGAATCAATTCTATGAATACTGAGTTGAATGTTTTGGAAAGATAGAAAAAAGTGAATCTCTAAAACTTATTGTTAAGTTAATGCTGATACAACTTTAAAAATTTGGAAAATTCACAAAAATCTACTTATCAACTCATGACTTCATTGTTTCTCTCTGAAGAAAAGAGCTAGTCTAATAGTATTCTATGATTGCTCAAAATAATGACAAAAGATCATAGAAATAAGAAAGGGAGAGTTGAGAAATATGTTCTACTATGAAATACAAGGTATAAAAAGATGAAGATTGCCTAAACAGGGTAGAAAAAAATTAAGTCAAAAGTATATAGACCAGTTATAAAGTTTTATAGGAAGTTATAAAAATAAAATTACCAGAGAACAGTAGATTTACGTAAAACTCTGTGGAGCAGCCCTTTCAATAAAAGGACTTGCTTGTGTGTGTTCCATGCCTTCAATTACTTGACTTTGGGTTTTTATGGAATAAATCTGGAAAGTTATCAATAGAGGTTTCCCGGCAATAGGTACTTATGTGAGAATAGCAACAGAAATAAATGACTGGGTTAAGATTATTAGAAGTAGATTATACATGTAAACTATTGACAAGGCAGTAATTCACAAACTGCTTGGATACATATAGGTAATCAACACAATTCTCTGGCACTTTACATCTAAATATTATAACCTTGAACCCTACATCTGTAAATAATATTTTGAAACAGTTACGTAGTCAGCCTAATATGAAAAACATGAATACACTGCAATTAGTATACATTAAAATAGAGCTTATATTTGAGTGACCTGAGATGTGAGGGAAGTTTTAATCACGACCATTTTAAAATTTTTTATCGACTAGTCAGTATACAATAACTCTAGGGTAATGAATTCATGAGAAAAATTATTTTCACTTTGAACATGATAAAAAGTAGTGTGTATGCACAAGGAAAAAGGAAAATGAAAGTTTTTCGTCTTGAGGCTAAACTCATGTAATAGATAAAATTCTCATTAGATCATTTTAATTATAGAAAGATGAAAAATTATTTCTTCAACACATATTCCACAAGCTCACTTCTATGTATTGGTCCAATTTTTATTCATTACATTGTCTTCTCTAAAATAGACATTTTATATAGAGGTTTCTATTCATTGAAAAAGCATGGGGAAGACAGAATTTATGTACAATTATCTATGGATGATAATTTTCAGATGTGTTACATTTATACTACATCTGAAAATGAGGCTGTCTCTAGCTTTATTCTTCTTATGTCAGGGTTATCAAAGCATAATTTACATACAGTAAAATTAATATTTTTAGATGTAACATTCCATGTACTTTGATAAATACACTTTGTATGTACTTTGTATGTACTAATGCCCTTTGTATGTACTAATGCAGGTACTTTGATCATGTAACAATAACCATGGTAAAGAGACAGGACAGCTGAATTCTATACCATCAAAAAGTCACATCATGCCCTTTTGCAGCCAGTTTTCTGTCCTCCAAAGCTATTTCCCTAACTGATGATTTTAGTTTTGTCCCCACAGATTTGACTTTCCAGAGTGTCAAATGAATAATAGAGTGTGTATCCTTTTATGACCTAGCATAATAAATTTGAGATTTATAATTTTGTTATGTGTAACACTACTGTGATCTTATTTATTATTGTTATTCCATTACATCAATGAATTGCAGATTGATTATGCATTTACCAGTTTAGGGAAATTTGGATTGATTTCAGTTCTTGGCATTTATCAATAAGGTAATTATAGATATTTATACATAAGTTTTTGTATAGACATATTTTTGGTTTTCTTTCTTGTCTGGACACGTTTTTATTATAAATTTTAGCAGTGAGATTCTGGCAGCATATTGTGTCAGATGTGGGTCATGTGTACATAAGACAACTGGAAACTACCAATAAAATGGAAAAATAGAAACAATACATGAGACTAAAATATGATTCTTTGAAAAGATTAATAAAATTGGTATTCTAAATTGATAGATAAAATTGATAGAAAAAATAGAGTAATGAGAAAAAGGAGAGATAGATTGATAGAAAGAGGGCACACACATTAATAAAATCAAGAAAGAAAGAAGATTCATCACAGCAAAGCTTACAGAAATTCAAATGGTATATATGGGATAATCAAGTTCCTTTGTTGGGTGCTTCCTGCTAACAAAATAGTCAACTTAGATGCAGTTGACAAATTTCCAGAAAGACTCAAATTACTAAAACTGATTCAAGAAGAAATACAAAATTTGAATGAATCTATAAGTAAAGTAATTGAATTGTAATTAAAGCTAATTCCACAAAAAGTTCAGTCCCGCCAAATATATAAACACCAAATAATACTAATTATTCATAAACTCTTTCAGAAAATAGAGGAAAAGAGAACATACTTCTAAATTCATTTTACAAGGCCAGTGTTACTCTGATAGCAAAGCCAGACAAAGATACAATAAGAGAAAAAAACAAAAAATTACAGACCAATATTTCTCACATAGATGCAAAAATCCTCAATAAATCTGAATCCAGCAGCATATTTTTTAAAAAGCCACAATCATGTGAAATTTATACTAGAAAAGCAGTATTTATAAAAATTCTAAAATCAATTAATGCAATATCATTTATAAAGTATAAGATGAAAGTCATGATTGTCTCAATAGATGCAAAAAAAGTTGAAAAATTCAAATCTCTCTTGTGATACTTTTTTAACACTCAAAAAACTAAAATAGAAAAATCTTCAACCTGATAAAAGTTAAGTAGGAAAAACATAAAGATAATATGATCCTCATTGGCTAAAGATGGAAGTCTTTTTCCCTTATCATTGGTAATAAGGCAAGAATATACATTCTCATCACTTTAACACTGTACTGGAGGTTCTAGCCGGTATAGTCAAGAAAGGGAAATTGGAGGAATTTTGATTGGAAAGTAAAAAGTAAAAGTGCCTTTATTCCAGATTACCGGACACCTTTTATAGAAAATTCCAAGAAATACACACACACACACACACACACACACACACACACACACAAAGAGAGAGAGAGAGAGATACTAGAACTAGAGTTTAACAAGGTCATAAAAACAATACTATATTTAAAAGTAACTTTAACAAAAGAAGTTGAAAAACTATGCAATTAAAGCTGCCAGACATTGCTAGGCAAATTAAAAATATAAATAAGGGGAGACAACATCATGTTTCTGGAACTGAAGACTCGATATTATTATGACAGTAATTATCCCCAAATTGATCTATTGTGATGGTTAATTTTAGATGTCAGTTGACTGGATTAAGGGATGCCCAGATAGCTGGTAAAGCATTATTTCTGGGTATATCTAATGATGTTTCCTGAATAGATTAACACTTTAATCAGTGGACTGAGTGGAGAAGGTCTGCTCTTCCTTAGTGTGAGTGGGGACCATCCAATTGGTTGAAGGCCTGGATAGATCTAAAGGGAAGGCAAAAGACCAGTTCTGGAGCAGAAACATCGTTCTTCTCTTGCCCTTGGACATTATACCTCCAGGTTTTCTGATCTTTGCACTGCAGTACTTGTACCATGAATGCCCCTCAACCCCCCTTCTCAGGCTGTCAGACTCTGACTGAGGCTTACACCATCAGCTTCCCTGATTCTGAGGCCTTTGGACTCAGGTTGGGCCAAGCTACTGTCTTCTCTGTTTCTCCAGCTTGCAGGTGACTTACTATGAAACTCTCAGCTTTCATACTCATGTGAGCCAATTCCCCTAAAAAATTTCCTTTCATATATCTGCAGGTTGGTTTTGTTTCTCTGGAGAACCCTGACTAATACAAGTGACAATGAAATCCATATAGAAAACCAAGCAGATATTTTTGCAGAAACTGACAATCTGATTCTAAAATATGTATAGAAAAAAGATTCTTGGAGAACAAAGCTTATACACACACACACACACACACACACACATACATGTACAAAAGTGTATGTGTTATTATAGCTCAATTAATTGCATACATGTTATTGAAAAACTGTATGTTTTGTTATTTCATTTCTACTTTCTAGACAGCCAGTCAATAAAAGTGAAGTCAAATTTTTAACTAGACCTATAACACTGTGGGATTATAATCAAAGAACATTGAAAAATAACTCAAATATATGGCTAATTTTAATAATTTTTTGATTTAATTACAATGGGAATTCTGTGAAGAGATCATTGCTTTTCCCAATGTAACCAAGAAATTATTTTCAAACATACATAATTGCTCTTCAGCTTTGTCACAGCTAGCTCTTCTAAAAATTATGTCTTGATTGTATTTGTGAAGAATCAGCATAACTATATGAATCAGGAATTGAGATAAAATGTTAGATGTGATCATCACAATGAGATATATTGATATTAATACCTCTATTAAAATATGGTGAATGCCAATACTCCTTGTCATGAGTAATTTCACATGAAAAGATAGCATTACTAATTTTCTGAATAGTTGATAGCATGGATAATTGCAGTTAATGAAAAATGTTGCAAATTAAATCTAGATTAGAATGACCAAATAGTTAGTATTTTATTTTAGGAGAATCATGTTTTCAACAAATAAATATACTCAGTTTCCAAATTGAGATTGGTATAATTAGATAACTCTTTTTGAAATTATGTATCTCAGCCAAGGGCAGTGGCTCATGCCTGTAATCCTAGCACTTTGGGAGGTCCAGGTGGGTGGATCACCTGAGGTTGGGAGTTTGAGACCAGCCTGACCAACAAGGAGTAACCCCATCTCTACTAAAAATACAAAAAATTAGCAGGGTGTGGTGGCGCATACCTGTAATCCCAGCTACTCGGGAGGCTGAGACAGGAGAATCACTTGAGCCCAGGAGGTGGAGGTTGGGGTGAGCCAATATTGTTCCATTGCACTCCAGCCTGGGCAACAAGAGTGAAACTCCGTCTCAAAAAAAAAAAAAAATATTTATATATATATATGTATATATATATATATATATACACATATCAATTAAATAATCTCTGTAATAATCATGCCAAATTAATCTTAATACAGGGCATTTGAACCTTTAACCTGTCTAATAACTAAATATTAGTGTTATTTATATTCTAAGACGACTTCTAAGGTCTTTACTAAATATCTCCCAAATCTGTGAGTTAATAAGTGGCTACAAACAATTCAAGGGCTAATTTGCATGATTCGAGTATTTGTACATCTATTTCTGAATATAAAGTAAGCTCACAGAGTCCTATTATAGATAATTAGTGATCATTACTCAACCAATTCTGCTAATATTAGGGGAATTTTTTTTTTTTTCTTGAGACGGAGGACGGAGTCTCGCTCTGTCACCCAGGCTGGAGTGCAGTGGCGTGATCTCGGCTCACTGCAAGCTCCGTCTCCCGGTTTCACGCCATTCTCCTGCCTCAGCTTCCCTACTAGCTGGGACTACAGGCACCCGCCACCACGCCCGGCTAATTTTTTTTGTATTTTTTAAAGTAGAGTCGGGGTTTCACCGTGTTATCCAGGATGGTCTCGATCTCCTGAACTTGTGATCCGCCCGCCTCGGCCTCCCAAAGCGCTGGGATTACAGGCATGAGCCACCGCGCCGGGCCGGGAATTTTATTTTTACCTAAGACTCTTGTTTGGTTTAGTGACAGTAGAACTAAACATTAGATTGGGGGCAATTATTAATTATATTGTTAATGAAGAGATACCACTAGCACACTAAGAACTGTCTGCTTCTCTTTATTTATTCTACAATTTAGTGTTTTACATTAATATTTATGTTTCTCCCTCTGATGTCTTCCTACAGAAGCATATTTTATAGACACTCCAGACAGTGTTATAAGCTGCCAGCAACTCTGAATTTTAGTAGTCCTAGTCTTCCTGTTTAGGTCTAAGTTCCATACAATTCAAACATAGCAATTGGCGGTATTAATCTTGAACAAAAAGCTAGCCCTATACAAGCGACATGCTTAAAATATATTGACATTTTGTACAAACGGAATTCACGAAGTCATCATATTTAAATAGATGACAATGACTTGCAAAATGCTCTGGTCTAAGAAGGTCTTCTAGAGTAGTTACAAAAAAAATAGAAAACATATAGAATGAGCCAACTACTTAAATAATACTTAATTAAGATGACAACATTTCTGGGCTTAAAGTTATATATATGTCCTTATTCATACATACTGTAGAAATATATTTTTATTTTATGCCCCTTTACCTTCTTTTTCAGAGAATCACAAAATATACTGTTTTTGGTCAGTTATGTCATAAAAAGAAATAGCTATTTTGTTGTTAAAAACATAAAATTTACTTTTAAAAGCATTTTTTACTGCTTTGCATTAAATAATAAGAAAAATATTCAGATGTAATTTTAAGTGAAAACATTCTATTACATTTTTATACTTAGAATTTAGATATATAAGTCAATCAAAGTCTGGCTGTATTTTTTTAAAAGCAAAAACTATCTTACTGAATATATACAAAGATGTTCAGGGATGAGCTTTCAAAGGGCAGTGAGTGAGACAATAATTCAAACCCACATGGATATTTCGAGTAAAAATCTAGTTGTCATAAAATATTGATGAACAATTTAATAAAAATACAATACTTTAAATACTATACACTCATGCTGTTCAAGAAACATACCTTTTAAAATTACAATAAACAGCACCCTATAGAAAATGTGTGTATGTGTATTTCATCAGAACAAAATGAGCTTAAAATCAGAAAATACTTGAAATAAAGTGGAGAGTGTCTGCCAATGATGTTTTCGAAGTTAAATCAATTGCTGAAATTGACTAATTTTTAACAGGCTAATGCTTAGTGAGACCTCAGAGCCTGTGAACTAGCAGGTATCTACAGTTTGGGTATGGGTGGGTCAGTCAATCTTGAACACCCTTGGCACCACTGGCTGTATGTGTAACGTTGATAAAAATTATGGCTGCATCAGTGATGGGCCTCCAGCGTGATGCACACTGCCAAAAGCAGCCTCTTCATGACCTCTGATAATTTGATTCTGCCACTGGGTTCTTGGAAAAGCTGCTGAGGCAAGCATTAGACCTGCAGAAAGGGTCACCTATTTCTCATGCTCCAGACAAGATTTTAGCCTTGAGCTGAAAGTTTAAAAAGAATAATATCCCATGAATGAAGAAAAAAATCAGCATTTTTCTGAAAAGTAACATGAATACAGGCCTAGTCACACAAAATTACAAGTGTGTGTTATTATTCAACCAATCTCTTGCATAGCTAAAGTAACATCTCCGGGAAAACTATTATTTCCCACTCAAAATGAGATGAACAGATTCAATGACTACAGATTCAATTTATTTATAATTATGCCTTGTAATTATAGCCATATATGCTGCAACTTTCTTTATTTGTACAGTAAAGGTGCATTTCATCTTGCAGCCCACCTGTATTCAACACAGAATAAGTCTGTACTACAATTCTGTAGCTGTATTCTAAAGCGAAATTAAGTATTTTTTTAAATAAAAAAAAGCCCTTTATACTTGCTTGAGTTTTAACAATGCATTAAATAGAAAGGGCAGCTTACCCTGAGAAATGTATTCATCTCTGCAGGAAGCGAAGAAGGTTTTATAAAAAGTAATGCATTTTCAGTGAAGCAACTAATTATTGACGATACAACTGGGCACTTGTGCTTCCAACAGCCAATTTCATAGACTCTCTGTCAAGTAAAATCCAATTTTAAGATTTATAATACAACTAACTTTTGCCAAAAGGAAAAATGTTAATGTAAGACAAAATTGGAAGGAACTTGGAGATCACTGGGTGGAATCTCCTCTTTTAACCAGTGAGAAAAGTCAATGCCCAGAAGGCTCAAAGGAGTTTCCTAAGTTTATACAATTAATTACTATCAAAATAAGGGCTAAACCTCAAACTATCTACTTTCAATAGAAAGTGCTCTTTAGCAAAAACAGTATTTCTGAGAAATATATTTTGATTTATGTGCCAAATATAAATAGAAAATGCAGGTATACTTAAAGCAAAAGTTTCTTTGGCAGAATCATCTAATGAGGTTATTCATTTCAATAATTCAGTCAAAATCCCGCCAATTTGATACAAATCAACAGGTCTAAATACTTTCACTCAATATTTCAAACCCTTCAAGCCTTAAATGGCTGCTCAGTCAACAAATCTGTTGACACTTGTAGAATTGTAAATGGCTATAACCTAACTGGGGTTTTCTTTTAAAACTTACCACACCTTCCCAAATATTCCCTTTACTTCCTGAGATGATATAAGATTACATAATTATTGTGATTCCTGCAGCTCTGAAATTTTAACTATTTTAAGGCAGTGTTACTTGTCTATAGAAATTTATTTTTCTTTGTATTATTTTAAACATTTACAAACATCTATTTTCTTGGAAAATATAAGTGTAATCCCATTCAACATTTAAAGTCCTATAGAATGCCCGCTTATCTGGCTCCCTGGGACAATAGAATTGTATCCGTCAGCATTCTCCCAGACTCTGCCTTCACATCTCTCTGGGAAAACTGAGCATTTCTTCTTGTATCAAGACTCTTTATGCTAATCTCTTCCCAACTGGTTTTTAAATACTTTGAGAGCAGGATCTGTATTTTTATTTACTTATTTATGCCATCCCATCCCACCATCACCACCATGTTGTCAAACTCAAGGAGAGTTTCTTTGGTAAAATGAATGGACAAATTCTATTTAAAAACCAGGGCAACAAGTGTAAAAGAACCAAAGATAAAACTACCTGTCAAATATGCAATTCTAAGGTAGCAGTGTCTTTGCTGAGAATGCTTAGGACGTACATTATAAATCCTAAGTCTGATTATAATTTTATGGCTCATACATTTGTTAAGTCCTGACTTCTTGTAAGAATGAAAATAAACACAATTGTAAAGTAGCCAAAAGGAAAATAGGGTCAAAACTTATCTTTATGTAAAGGTAGCCTGAATACACAGAAGACAGAATTTAGGTCAATATGTAGTGTTCTTAATTACCCATCTTAATAAAGAGTAAAATTAAAGTAAAAATGATTATGGATGATTAAAGATACTCTATAATGAGACATTTCTACACAATTTTAAAAGAAGATAAGTTGATTAGATATTTTTGAAAGACAATTTAGCAATAGATGTCAAAACCTTAGGCATTTTTCAACCATTTAATCTTCCCCCTCATTTTTTTTTTTTTTGGTAAAGCTATGAAAACAATTGATTTGCAAATATTTAGATATTTTATGTCAATCCTTTTTATATTTTAGGAAATAATTAAAAAGGATTATCTACATATCCAGCAATATGAATTTTAAAAAAATATGGTAATCGGCAAAATGCAAGTATAAAAAGGTATTTAACACAACTATCTGGAAAACTGCTAATGAAATATAAAGATGTTCAAAATGCAAAGGCTAAAAAAGTGAAACAATTATAATGTTAAAAAAGTGAAGTTGTAAAGCAGTATGTTAAGTATGGTCTCACATAAGTCAAATCCAGATGCACAGATAATAAAATGCTAAGAATGGGCAATTTTGAGTGGACAAATTACAGGTGGATTTTATTTACTTATTTGTAAAATATGAATTTTTTGTAATAAACATCTATTTTATTCAGCACAATATTACCTTTAATCTGTTAACATTTTGGTATGAACATAATATTTAACTCTTATTTAACTCACCTTGATGGCTACTATAAACTTCATGTCACTGGTAGTGAAATGTTATGAAACATTAATAATAATTCCCAAGTCTTACAAGTAAATATAAATGACTGACAATGACCTTACCTAGAAAGCTAATTGTACAAAGTTAAATTCAATGAATAGTCTTATATATTGCATAAATAAAGTCTCTTCAAAATTTTTCCAATAGAACCCAAAAATTCACATTCATTAGGGTAACATAATAAAAAAGAATTTTCCTTTTGTTTAATCTGTATGCTAAATGCATTTAAGATAAAAATTAAAAATTAATAGTAATTCCCATTATTAAGAGTCTTTTCCAAGTAATTAGAATTACATGCTTTCAGAGAATAGTTAAATGAATAAAAAATCTCACTTATGAAATTAATTGTTGTAAAAGTTTAAAGACTGGTGAAATCACTCTAGTGTAATTTGGAAATGTATAATGACTTTGTAGAAGAAATTTTACTTAATCTAGACTAATATGACTAGGTAGGCAATTTGAGATGCTGTGTCTTAGAATGGATGGATTTCAGTGAAAGAAATCCTAGAGTTAGAAATAAGACCAAGAAGGAGTGAAGTCACTTTGGAGTGAAAATTCAGAGCTTTTCTGGCTGGATCAGATATATCACCCTCCTGAATCACAAGATAACATCTCATATCCCACATCTCCTTATCTCATGTAAGTAGAATGGGGTAAATATTGTGGACTTTGGATGATAAAATTGAGAGGTTTGCATTTGTTCATCATAAGTTCATTTTCATTATTAGTATATGCCCAGCATTATACTAAATGGACAAAGACAAGAAGATTTCTATTCTTATGTACTTTGTGTTCTAGCAGAAAGAGACACACTATAAACAGTACATATCATATATAAGTACATTATGCATTATGTAGGAAGACAGTAAGAGTTATGCAAACAGAAAAAACATAAAGCAGAAAGAGAAATTGTCAAAAGTTGAGGAAATTGTCAAAGTTGAGGGATTGTCAACTTTGAAGAAAAAAATGTGGTAGCAGTAGTCTGCAATATTAAATAGAATAGTCATCATTTTTCTCATTGAGGAGGTGAGATTTGAGCATAGACTCAAGAAAAATATGAATTATCGATGCAGATATCTCAAGGAAGAGCAATCTGGGTAGAGAGACCCGATAAGATAGAGACCCGATAAGATAAAGCCCCTAAAGTGGGGATACTGTGTTTTATGTAAGGAACTTCATAGCTAGTGTAGCTAAAGTAGATTGACGGAGGGAGAGACAGATTAGGCAGAACTAGAAGAAAAGAAATAAGGATACATGAAGAGTTTTGAATAACGAATTTATTTGGCTAAAATTTCAGTCAGTGAAAACCTTTTAGTTGCTGTTTTAAGCAATGCTAATAGAAAGACAAGAGCAGAAATAGTGAAACCTACCTGCAGTAACACAGTGTTTGTTAGATAATGGTAGTTTAGACCAGAGTGATAGCAGTGATGAGAATGGATGACAGTCTCAGTATCTTTTGAAGGTAGACCTAATACTGGCTGAATTTTACATGGCATGTGAGAAAAAAGAGAGGTCAGTATTGGCATCAAGGTATAAGGCTTGAGCAACCGGAGAAAGGTAGTTGCCATTTTAAGATGAGGAAGACTATAGGAATATAAATATGGTAGAAAAAGATCAAGAATTTATTCAATCAATGTTTTTAGGAATTTATTCATTTCTTTTAAATTACTCAATTTTTTGGTGAATAATTGTTCATCATATTCTCATGATCTTTTATATTTCTGTGGTATCAGTTTTAATGTCTCCCTTTAATTTGTAATTTTATTTATTTAAGTCTTCTCTCTTTTTGGCTTGGTTAGTGTAGATAAAAGTTACAACAAGGAGGAAGTAAGGACTTCTTAATATTCAATGCTCAATTAAGGCTGTGAGAACATTCCTAAAAATTGTCAAAATCAACTTTTTTCACAAATCTGGAAATTAAAGTTTTGTGACAGTACAAAGACCATTTATTCAATAAAAGTAGCTAAATTTCCATGAGAACAGTGAGATTTGTAGTATTTTAATTTGCTCTATTCCTACCTTCCTCTTCCTATCTCCTCAATATCCCTGAAAACCAATGACTCTACAATTTCAACATAAATGATCAGGCTAGCAGTCACTGCAGGTGACAAAAGGATTTTGGGCTTTCCAAAAACCCTACTCCCAGAAAACTGACATTTTCTGATTCATCTGGAAGTTCTCTAAAAATGCCCACTCCCGGGACTTAATAAAAATTGAACCAGATCTCAACATTCATTTTAAGAAACTAGAAAAAGAGAAAACTAAATCTAAAGCATGGAAAAAGGAAGACAA
The DNA here is from genome assembly GCF_000001405.40 of Homo sapiens. NCBI lineage: Eukaryota > Metazoa > Chordata > Mammalia > Primates > Hominidae > Homo > Homo sapiens. The sequence goes on from NC_000007.14 coordinate 118,677,340, forward strand.
TTGTAAATATTAGAGGGGAGATAAATGAAAAAGATGTTAGAAAAACAAGAAAATCAATTATGTTAAAAATATTTCTTTGAAAAGATCAAAAATTGACAGCATTTTAGCAAAACTGACAAAAAGAGACTTCTCAAATTACTAAAATCAGGAACGGAAGAGAAGACATTACTACTGACTTTATTGAAATGGGACAGATTATAAAGGAATACTATGAGCATTGCAATTCTACAAATTAGAACATCTACATAAAATGGAAAAACTCCTAGAAAGACACAAACTATCTAAACTGATGAAGAAATAGAAATTCTGAAAAGTCTTATAACAAGTAAAGGGACTGCATTAGTAATTTCTTACAAAGAAAGGTCCAAGTTCAGATGGCTTTACTGGTGAGTGCTACCAAATGTGTAAAAATTGATTAATACCCTTCAGAAAATCTTCCAGAAACTAGAAAAGGAAGGAACACTCCAAACTCATTTTATGAGGCCAGTATTACTCTGATACCAAAATCAGACAAAGACATCACAAGAAATCTACAGAGTAATATCCCCTTTCAACATAGATGCAAAATTCTCAACAAAACACAGTTGACCCTTGAACAACATGAGTTTGAACTAGATGGGTCCACTTATACACAAATTTTCTTCAGGTTTCACCATGCTTGACACAGCAAGACCAAACTCTCCTCCTCTTCTTCCTCCTCAGTTCATGCAACCAGAAGAAACAAGAACAAAGACCTTTATGATAATTTACTTCCACTTAGCAAATATTAAATATATTTCCTCTCCCCTATGGTTTTCATAACATTTTGTTTTCTCTATTGTTTATTTTAAGAATACCACATATAATATATATAACATAAAATATGTGTTAATCAACTATATTATTGGTGAGGCTTTTGGTTAACAGTAGGCTATTAATAGTTAGATTATATGGAGTCCAAAGTTACATGAGGATTTTCGACTGCACAGTGGTCAGCACCCCTAACCTCTACATTGTTCAAGGTTCAACTGAACCAACAAATAGAATCCAGCAATATATGAAGATGATTATATGGCACAACCAAATGGATTATTCTAGGAATGCAAGGTTGATTAAACAAAAGAAAATTAATTAAGGTACCATATTGTATTAATAAAGTATAAAACAAAAACAAGTGATTATATTAATACATGGGGAAAAAGCATTTGATAAAATTCAACACACTTTTATTTAAAAAATACTCAACAATCTGTGATGAAGCAATAAATTCCTCAACCTGATAAAAGTAATCTATAGAAAAGCCCAAGATTAACATTATAATTAATGGTGAGAGACTAAAAAGCTCCTACTTAATATCAGGAAGAAGACAAGAATATCCAATCTTATCACTTCCACTCAATAACATACTGCAGGTTCTAGCCAGGCCAACATGCAGAAAAAAAACAAAAATCTAGATTAAAAAGGAAGGAAAAAAGACATCATTATTCACAGAAAATATGATCTTATAAATAATAAAAGATCCTAGGAAATCCATAAAAATATAAGCTATTAGAACCAGTATGTAAGTTCAGCAAAGTTATATAATACAAGATCTATATAAAAAAGTCAGTTGTACTTCTATGCCTAGCAATGAACAATCAAAAAACAAAAATAAGGAAAAAATTTCATTTATAATAGTACCCAAAAGAATAAAATACTTAAAAAGAAAATAAATGCACTGAAGACCTAAGTGAATGAAAAGATATTCCAATTTCATAGATCAGGTGACAATATCGTTATGCTACTAATACCGCCCAAATTGATCTCTATTAAAGTATAATGTTTATCAGAATCCCAACTTGCCTCTGTGTAGAAATTGATAAGCTATTACCAAATTCATATAGAAATGTAAGTGATCCAGAACAGCTAAAACAAACTTGCAAAGGAGGAACACATCTAGGGCATTCACACTTCCTGATTTTAAAACTTACTACAAAGGTACAATAATCAAGACAGTATGGTACTGCAATAGGGATATACATATAGATTAAGGAAAAGAATTTACAGTCCAAAAAACAACCCTTATTATTTTGTCATTTATTTTTTGTCAAGGGTGTCAAAATAATTTATGTGTGATAGAATAGCCTTTTCAACAAATGTTACTAGGATAACTAGATATACAAATGAAAAAAAGAAGAAGTTTGACCTCTGTCTCACTACAATACACAAAATTAAATGAAAATGCTTCAAAGTCCTATATGTAAGATATAAAAGTAAAAATCTTAGAAGAAAACATAAGTGTAAATTGTGACCTTGGATTTGGCAATGGTTTCTTAGATGTGACACCAAAATCACAAGTAATTAAATTTAAAAAGTAGATAAATTGAATTCAATTGAAAATAAAAATATTTGTAGTTCCATGGACATCATCAAAAGCACAAAGCAAAACACACAAAGAACTGTATAAAATATTTGTAAATTATACATCCAATAGCTAATAAGTACCCAAAATATATAACAAATCTTACAAATCAGCCATAAAAAGGTAAGTTTCTTAATTAAAAATGGGGAAGGAATTTGAATAGCCGCGTCTCTAAAAAAAAAAAATATTCAAGTGGCTAAAAACCAGATGGAAAGATTACTGACATCATTTATTTACAAAATGTAAATTTAAAGGACAATAAATTATAATTTTGCACCCAGTAGTATGGATAAGATAAAGATGAGACTGTAGCAAATATTTTCGAGGTTGTGTAGAAATTAACACCGTCATACATAGCTGGCAGGAATGTCAAATGATGTGGCCACCTTAGAAAACAGTTTGGCACTTCCTCAAAAAATTAAACACAGAATTGTCATATAACCTTTCGATTCCACTCCTAGGTTGTATGCTTAAGAGAACTAAAAACATTCACATAAAAAATTGTATGTGGATATTCATATCAACATTATTTATACTTGTCAAACACTGAAATAACCCAGATACTTACCAATTCAGTTTTTATTGGTTCATGTTACTCAGCAGTAATATGAAAAATAGAAAATAGAATTCAAGCTTTATTTTTGTTAAATTAAGGTCTGCCAAGTTTACTGAGGAGTTGTCTGTGGGAAAGTTGGGAAACAGAACATATTTCATATGTTGAATCAGCGAGAGTAGGGCTCATAAAGTGCCAATAGAAATGCACTTTTTGAAGGGAAGGAGCATAGACTGAGGGACTTCAGCAATGGTGTGAGAGAGAATGTGAAGTGGCAGAAGCCACTGAAACCCAATTTATTTCACAGGACCAGTGATAGTGAGATTTCACTAAACATCACACATGTAAGTCCTATTTGCAAGAAGCAGTTTGCTTTTGTGGCCTCTGACAAAAAAGAGGTCCTTTGAGTTGTGAAAATGAATCTATTAGGCAAGATGTAATGGACCGTCAGTAGCACAGAGAAATATTATGTAGGGAAGTTGAACAGATAAACCGAATTTTTTCAATAATGAATAATTAAAAAGAATTGACCCAGCATTTCCATAAAGATAGTAAAAGAAGATAAAAAATAAAAATATGTTTACTAGCAAAAGACTATAATCAGAAACATATTGTCATTTTTTAGGTAAGAAGTGAAATAAAGTTTCCCCCATTAATTAACAATTGGTTAGTGAAACAATCATCTCTCTGGAAGAGGGTCAAGAAATTTAAATGCAGAAATTCAGAGAAGTGGCTGGAAGATACCATGAGGGGATAAAATAAGAGATGGCATAATTCAGGAAAATTGTATCCTCCTGCACCCCCCACTCCCGCCAAATTACACAAATAAATACAAAATTGATAGCAGCCCAAGGGCAAATCGACTCTGTGGCAAAGTAACACATAGCATATTAAATAAAAATAGTAAGTACAATGAATCAGAAACAGAACTGTGAAAAACCAGAAGAAAAAAGGAGCAAAACAAGAAGACTTTTGGTGTGATGGAACTGCTGTGTATGGTATTATGATAGTGGATGCACAGTTCTATGCATCTGTTAAAACAAAAATATAAACTGCAAAAGTAAATTTTACTATCAACAGTATTGAAAAATCAACCACAATTTAAGGAAATCCAAGATGAAATACAGACTGTAACAACTGTATCTGAATATTAAAGGTGTTGGATCTGATAATGAAGGCACTAAAAAAACTTTGTAAAACTGTGTTTTAACCATATAATCTAAGACTAAAATAAAAAAGAACTGTAAACAAACACTGTATTCCAGTTGGTAAATTTATGTCTCACAAGGGTATTGATTTGCAATTCTGCAACTACTTTACCTGTATTCTAGCTTTGGACATAAATATAAATGTATTATTGATAATGAGAGCCAGGTGTCTGTCTGAGAAATAAAGAGAGGTTAATGCTACAGTGAACTCTGTGTTGCTGGACTGGAATCAGAGAGTGTGAACTCATATTTCTGTTAATGCATTCCAGGTAGAGAGCTAAGTAATAAGTATAGATATGTGTGTATAAATGGATTAGTGTATATATATATATATATATATGTCCTAATTCTCTCAGCTGACAGGGCCTCAAAACTGACACCTCCATAGCAAGGGGCACACCTGGCAACTGAATCTTAATTTCAAAACATCCTTCTCCAACCAAAGAAGCTAGGGCTTTTTGAAGAAATACCTGCATCTAGACCTGGTGCCAAAAAAAAAAAAAGTGTAAAATGAGTCTTAGAGCATTTTGTGTTGCCAGAAAGAAAAAGGAGGAATAAACAAACCAAACAAAAACAAAAAACCTAGAAGGCTTATGAAAAGAACACAGGAATGAACCGTAAATAGCTTCAATCATCAAAGTCAGAAGAATTTGTGCAACAAAACAAAAACTGAGACTATTGATTGAAATACCTTAAGTAAAATGAATACTTAGTTTATAGTGATATAATGATTGAATGAATAAATTCATGGGAGGAGGGAACATTGTACATTACAGAGTGATTCCAATTAATAAGTACAGAAGGAATAAGGAAAATAGGAAATAACTATTAGAATATTATCGTAATATTTATTGCAGGCAATATTCACTGAGGAATGCTAGAATTAGTGGTAGATTCCTTAAAGTGAAACAGGATATATGCATAGCCTCAAAATATCTTTGCCCAAATAGTGATTATTTACGGTAGTTGTTTTAATATATATCCTTAAATAATTGAATAATCCTCTCTCCAGGAATTGGAACTTAATTCTTTCCATGAGAGTTTTAACAGCTGCACTGCTTTGGGAGAATTTGGCTTCAACATTTCTTCTAGGGCAACTCTGAATACAGCAGATGTGAAATTATCATGTTTCCAGCTCGCACCCTCATGCTGAGATGACCCACTCATGAAACAACCTGAAGCCTTTTCCCCCAGTTTCAGAGAAAGAAAGAGACCCACCATTTGAGCATAGCGGTGAACTGAAGGAGAGTGCAATGACAGTAAGTGATTGGTTGTGAGGGAGGGCTACCTGCTTATTTTGTATTTTTGTGATCTTTTATCTTTCTAGTGTTTTATTTCAGATGTATCATGTTAATCTTAGAATAAATGGATATTTTGTTGTTCTCATTCGAATACATGGCTTGGTGTTTCTGATAAAACACAGCCTACGTTGAGCTGTTTTGGCCACAGCCCAAGTTCTGGCTCAATGGGCACCTAGTGTTCCATGGTTGGTTGCTCCATCAGTTCCAGGTGCTGATAGCCACTTTGCTATTCTCCTGGAAAAGGGAATCATCCAAAGATCAAGAACAAGGTTTGGGGAAGAGAAGACTTAATAAAATAATTAAAGTGGTAGAACTATTTGTATGCACTGAGTCTCTACCCTGAGTATAGAAAATGTATGTAGTAGTCTGTTCTCATGCTGCCAATAAAGACATACCTGAGACTGGATACTTATAAAGGAAAGAGTTTTAATTGACTCACAGTTCAGGATGGCTGGGGAGGCCTCAGGAAGCTTACAATCATGGCAGAAGGGGAAGCAAACACGTCCTTCTTCATATGGCTGCAGCAAGGAGAAGTGCTGAGCCAAAGGGGGAAAAGCCACTTACAAAATCATCAGATCTCACGAGAACTCAGTCACTATCAGGAGAATAGCAGCATGGGGGTAACTGCCCTCATGATTGAATTACCTCCCACTGGGTCCCTCCCATGACATGTGTGGATTATAGGAACTACAATTCAAGACATTTAGGTGAGGACACAGCCAAACCATGTTAATGTACCTCCTCTCTACATATACTTTAAAAAAGACAAGCTCAATTCTTAAAGTATGTTTTATGATTAATTAAAAAGAAATAATAAAATAGAAAATGAAAAGCTCACACTTCTGCATAATCAGTATTATTTCATAAAATATTTTGGAATAGAGGATATAAAAATAGCAGAATATGTGGCAAAGAAATAGACCTAAAAGGAACAAAATTGTATCTTAAAAAATAGATACATAAAAATTAATGAAGTATATTAATTAAGTATATGGTATGGCATTAAAAAAAGCACAACAAACAAAAACAAAGGCTGAAGAAAATGATACAAATGAAACAGAGACTAATGAGTAGCACAATAGAAAGTCAGTAAATCTCATAGGAGGAATCAAATGAAATGCTAAGTAGCTTACTTACTCTCATTTATACATATAAAGTCTAAAAATTTAAATATCTGAGAAGTGAAATCAGCAGCACATTTAACTTACATATCATAACCAAATTCTTCATTCTCCCCCACCTCACCTCAGCAACCACCACCAAGGAATGCAGTGGATACTGATTATAAAGGATTTGGACAACTGTAAGGAAAACTGGAAAACAATATGGGTATGTCATACTTTATATCGTACTCCTAGATGTAGGAAGCAAAACCAAAGAAAGTACTAGAGGAAAATGTGAGAGTTATTTTATATATTTAGAGAGGAAAATTCAGTTTTTAAAAAATGAACATTTTATTTTAGAGTAGGGTTATGTGTTAGAGTATGTCCCCCAAAACAATATGTTGAGGTCCTAATTTTTCAAACCTCAGAATATGACTTTATGTGGAAATAGAGTTATTGCAGATGTACTATAATTAGTTAAGATGGTGCCATTGGAGTGGGTCCTAACCCAATGTGACTGGTGTCCTTTTAAGAGGAAAATTTGGACACACTCTTACAGAAGAAGATGATGGTAAGACACACTGGGATAAAATGGCCGTGGAACAGATGGAGGCAGAGATTGGGGTTATGCTGTGACAAACCAAGTTCTGCTAGAAACTGGAAGAGGCAAAGAAGGATCTTCACCAAAGAATTCAGAGGAAGTACAGCACTACCAGCATTTTGCTTCTGGACGTCTGGCCTCCGGAACTATGAGAATAAGTTTCTGTTATTTTCTGTTATTTTAAGCCACAAAGTCTGTGGTTCTTTGTTCCGGCAGCCCTAATAACTAATACAAATATATTTACATTTAAAGAAATGCAGGGAAGGAAGTGTAGGATTTTCATGTACTCCACCCTCAGTTTCCCATATTGTTAACAATTTACATTTGTATGGGACACATGTCACAGTTACTAGCCAGGATCCATACTTTATTCAGATTTCACAGTTTTTACCTTAAGTATCCTTTCTATATTTGTAGATCTCATCTAGAATACCTCATTACATTTAGTCATCATGTCATTTTAAGATACTGTAGATTGTGATAGGTTTTCAGGTTTTCCTTGTTTTTGATGACCTTGACAGTTTTAAGGACTACCAGCCAAATATTTTTTAGAATATTTTTCATTTGATTTTGCCTATTTTTTTTCTTATATTAGACTGTGATATAGGTTTGGAAGAGGAAGATTAGAGGTAAGATGCCATTCTTGTCAAATCATGCCAAGAGTTTGTACTATAAACATTACCTGTCACTGTTGAGATTAAACCTTGGTCACCTGGCTGAAGTAGTTTGTCAGTTTTCTCCACTGTGAAGTTACTCTTTCTGCTTCCCTTTTCCACACTGTACTATTTAAAAGGAAGTCACTATACATAGTCCTCTGTTAAGAAGTAAGGAGTTAGGCTCAACTTCTTTGAGGCAAGGTTTGCTACCAAAACTATTTTGAATTACCTTACACAGGAAAATCGGATTTATTTATAGTTGTTCAAAATTGGACACATTCAAGATATCCTTCCATAGGTGAATGGATAAACTGTTACAGCCATACAATGAAATATTATTCAACCATGTAAAGAAATAAGCTATCATGCCACAAAAAGACATAGTGGATCCTTAAACACATATTATCACATAAGAGAAACCAGTCTAAAAATATTGGATACTGTATGATTCCAATTACATGACATTCTTGAATTGGAAAACTGCAGAGGCAGTAAGAAGATTAGTGGTTTTCAAGGGTTAAGGGGCATGGAGGAAGGGATGAACAGATAGAGCCCAGAGAGTGATAAAGGTGGTAAAATTATGCTGTAGGATACTGAGTAGACCGTGCATGTAATTGTGGATACATGACATTATTGTGAAAACCTATAGAACAATACCATACAAAGAGCAAACCCTAATGTAAACTATGGCTTTACTTAATAATAATATTGGTTCATCAATTGTAACAAATGTACCATCATCAGTGTAAGATGTTAATAATAGGGAAAGTTGTATGTTGTGGCTGGGGAGAAAGAAAAGAAGTATACAGGTACTCTCTGAATGTTCTGCTAAAATTTCTTGTAAAACAATAAAAAATAATAAATATCAAAAAATAAAAATATAATAACTATTTTTAAATTATCTATATTATTATATATATTCCATGTCTACATATATTTATATATTCTCTCTCTGTGTGTATATATGTATAGATACAAAGAGCTACTGATTTGTAAGCCCTGAAAATCTTAAAGAATTAAGATATTTCACTTGCTTCCAAAATTATTTTTTAATGACTTTAAGTGTTAGTGAATTCTGAATACTAGTATTTGGTATGTTTGCTTACTGTTTGAACTATAACTCCCTAGATGTAATTTTGTTACATGCATTGGCCTAATGATTATGAAGCAAGTTTAATTTGAACCAAAACTGTTTTTGGACAAATATGCTAGATCCATTATTCATACCTCTAGTGACAATATATAAGAGAAAATGGAATTCTTTCTATTCTATACCATGAGTTGGAGACGCCAAAACTTACGGCTCCTTAAAAATTCATTCATGAGCCTAGAAATCATACTACGGTCTTAATTTTTCTCCCATTGTCAACATTTATTTTGAATTTTGTGGTGATTACATTCATCATTAATTATCATATTCTATATATTTACCATCAAAGTTTAACCTAAGCTCAATTGGACCAGGGGCCACGTGTTTTCCCTCTGTTTCCAGTCAACTCTAATCTCAGTGCTTTGAACACGAATACACAAGTGATTTTTTCATTAGCAATGTGCTTATTTTCTCAGTTTTTGGTTTCATCACAATGCCATAGGTATAAAATTAAATTAGTTAAAATCACTAAAATGGTAGATTTTAAGTGGCCACTCCATGAAAAATGAGAAGTATATGAGGTAATGAATATATTAATTAGTTTGTTCTAGCCATTCCACTGCAATGTACATATATTTTAAAATATCATGTATATGACAAATATACACAATTTTTATTTGTCAACTTATTATTTGAAAGATATAAAATTCAATTGCCAGTTACCTAACCTATTGAACTAAAACTGATTTTATTTACAAAGAAGACATCAAAACTACATGAACCAACAATTTTCATTAACATTCATGGATTCACTCTGGTCAAACACTGATTGAGTCTATAATTGGTACTTTTTTTAGAATTTTATATTTATATATTTTAAATACATATTTATAATATATAATACATATAAATATATAATATATAAATAATTTATATAATATATTTGTATGATATATAGATAAACAAAAATATATAAATGTATACATATTTATATATTTATATTTTTTATAATTGGTACTTTTACTTTTTTAGAAAAATGTTTCCTATATTTTGTTAATAGGATAAGGTAAAACTGATACACCAAATAAAGGAATAAATTCATTTCTTCAACTTATAAACATTTATTAAGTGCTCTCATTCAGTGAAAAGTACTGTTTTGAGTCCTGTGACTCCATTAGTGGTGAGGGGTTTTCTAATCCTGAAACAGTCAAGAAAATGGTGCTGATAATAAATGATACAGTAGCCCTAAAAGCAGGGTGTTATTGAAAACCTATACTCGTGGTACATTTAGAGAACTAAAACAGTCTGAAAAAGCTGGATCAGTATGTCTATGTTTGCATGTGGTATGATTGTGGGGTGTTCGTGTGTGCGTGTGTGTGTGTGTGTGTGTGTGTATTAGGATTATATAGAGCAAATGTCAAGAGGAGGCTGAGGTGCAAAGGTGATCATGATCAAGACCTTGGTATTTCTCAATGGTAGCACTATTGGCTTTTCAAGTTGATAATTCTTCATTTTATGGTGTTGTTCTATGCATAACAGGATCATTAGCATCCTTGACATCTACATAGTAGATGCCACTTCTGCTACTAGACATTGTGACATGCAAAAATACTTCTATACTTTTCCAGATTTAGTCTAGGGAAGTGGCACTACCTACAGTTGAGACCTACAGATGTGGAAAGCATTGCTATGCTAATGTTGCTAATATTATCTTGACAATCGTGAGAAATCAATGGCTTTAACTGAGGGGAGACATAAAAATGATTGAGGACAGCTCACTCTAGCTACATAATGAAGAAATGATAACAGAGTGCTTTTTGAGGCAGACATACTCTTTAAGAGATTGCCCATTAATTCAGGCAAAGGAAGGTGGTAGCCTATACCAGGATAACAACATTGAAATGGCAGAAGGGGAAAGATTTAAAGTGGAAAGGAGATAAAGTCAACAAAATATGGTGATTGATGTGATATGAGCTGAAAGACATGAGAGTTAAGGATGACCCTAGGTTTCTGACTTGAGCAACTAGGTGGAAGGAAGGGCCATTTGCTAATTAGACAGATTTGAGTGAGGGCAGATCCCAGCAGAGTAAGAGGTAATAGCCAAAGGAGCATTGTGGAAATAATAATGCTCTAACAATTATTTTGACTGTGTGATCAGAATTTGTTCTGTTTTGCTGTGACATGTGTTTTTATTGGAAGTAGCACCATTTTTCCAAATGCTATTCCCGTTATGTTTTGTTGAGTTCTATAATAATTTGAACTCAATACACCACAACAATAGTTTATGTAATTCAAATAAGAGTAGATAATATTTTATTTTGAAAGACAAATTGGAAAATAATCATTAATTTAACATACTATAGTTTCATGTATGCACACATAAACACTACAGTTTAACTTTTTGTATATAGGTATACTAGACAATAGACAATTATTTCCACTGTAAATGATTTTATGTCAAAGCCTACAAAACAGCATCTTACCATTAGTATGAAATTGAGATGAGCCTGCATTCTTTTGTTTTTTTGAGACAGGGTCTTGCTCTGTCACCCAGGCTGGATTGCAGTGGCGTGATCTTGGCTCACTGCAACCTCTGCCTCCCAGGTTCAAGCAATCCTCCCACCTCAGCCTCCCAAATAGCTGGGACTACAGGTGTATGCCACAATGCCAGGCTAAGCCTTCATTTTTGTTTCAGTAAAGACGTTATTAAATTGTAAAAGTAATTGCACTTTTGCCATTACTTTTAATCAGCAACATATGACTTCTGGGTGTTGTGATTTAAAGTGAATGAATTAATATCTTTATATTTTACATCAAATTTTATCTTAATTTTTAAACTTGCGAGTGTCTTTCTCAAGACATATCCATAATCATGTGACAGCAAAGAATAGACAACTATGCATATCTTAAGCAATAAATCATTTTAAAAAAGTGATTTTATTTTCACAAAGTTGTAACTTAGAAAATATATTTAACGGGATTTTAATGAATATTTATAAGGTAATGTATACCATGGTGGGTAGAAGGTGCAATGGAAGTTAGAGTCTTTCACATGTTGGCAGAAATCTAAGCTTTGTCATTTATTAACTGTTTTACTTTGGAAAGTAAGTTATTTAATTCTCAGTTTCCTTGTTTATTATAGTTGTATTAGAAACACAACATAAAGTGCTAACAAACATTAAGTACGAAGTATAACAGTCTGTAGGCTAAGGGTTTCAGCCTTGAATCCAGTTGTTGGGCTTCAATTTCCAGTCCCATCTCTTTGTTGTTGTTGTTGTTGTTGAGACGGAGTCTCGCTCTGCCGCCTTGGCTGGAGCGCAGTGGCGCTAACTTGGCTCACTGCAGGCTCCGCCTCCCAGGTTCACGCCATTCTCTTGCCTCAGCCTCCCCAGTAGCTGGGACTACAGGCGTCCGGCCACCACGACCGGCTAATTTTTTGTATTATTTAGTAGAGACGGAGTTTCACCGTGTTAGCCAGATGGTCTTGATCTCCTGATCTCGTGATACCCCCGCCTCAGCCTCCCAAAGTGAGTGCTGGGATTACAGGCGTGAGCCACCACGCTGGGCAATTTCTGAAGTATTAAAAATATACCCATATCTACTGGTTCAAAGTGAATTTTAAATATGTCTCATCTCTTATGAGCTGATTGAACTTAGGCAAATTACTCTACCTTCTTGTATGTAATTTTCATCTTTGAGAAATGAGAATAATAGTATCCAACTTATATTGGATTATTTATAATTGTAAATTTGTATATGGTTGTTTAGAAGATTATGTATAAATTAAATAATTCATGTTCTACGTATAAGAACAAATGCTATACAAAGGGCACTGAATATATGTGAATTTATATTTTTATAATAGTGGTAATAATAAGAAGAGGTGTCATAATTAAGAAGCAATATTCATTCATTTACTAGATCCACAGTATCAGAAACTTGAAACTCACAATATAGAAGTCAATGTTTCTGTATGTATATTTGTCTCAATTTGTTATATACTAGGCCAAATATAGTAATTTCTGAGTATTGTATCTTTAAATATCCCTTTATTTTAATTTTTAAGGCTAAGTAAAAAGGAAAGTCACCAGGTAGACCTGATGTTGATTACAAAAATCAAGAGTCTGGTAACCAATGGACAAAATTAGTATGTTGCATCTTGTACATCCAAAAGGTCTTAATTTTTTCCCTAAATATATTACATGTAATATCAATGGTAGCCATGAAACAGGACCAGCAGCGGACAGAATTCCAGAAAAGTGGCAGAAACAATGAAAAAAAAAAAAAGCAGTTGATAACAGATAGCTTGTTTAAAAGTGAAAGACTAAAGCATGAGGCTCGTAGTAAAGTTTTATCTTCAATTTTATGTTTATGTTTTATGGTGAGAATTTCAAGAAATGCATACTTTTTATGTGGAATATGGGGACATTCAATTTATCGCAGTTCCCAAGAGTTTTCAATCCTGCATGTATATTATCATTACCTTAGAAGTTATTTTTAAAATAGCCATGCCTGTCTCATGCCTTATACCAATGTAGTTAGAAACTTTGGTGAGCAAACACTGATATGTTTAAAAATTTCCTAGTTGATTCTCACGGGGAGCCAGGAAAAGGAGTCACTGAAATATATATGCAACAAAATTGTACTAATTATACAAATAATACAAATTAAGGAACTTAGAAAGGTAATTTTGTTTAAGAACACGTAGCATATAGGAAGCAGTATTCTAAATGCTAAATGTTATGCATTTAAAATTCATTTGCTTCTGATGTAGCAAATGAAAACAACCACTTATAATGAGTACTGTTTGCATGTGAACAAACCAAGCTAAAATCCTCACAATAATGTATTCTGTCTCATGCACTAAACAGCCATGCAATTTTTCTGTATGTTTTCTTTTCTCAGAATTCATTACTTGAATAACATAAAATAGAACTTTTGCAGTCTGAATCAAATTATTATAAATTATGAATAATGGGTATTTAACAGTACAAAAGTGCTGGAAGTTTTATTTGAAAGATTCTATTAATATCATGGAAATGCAAAGTGAAAATATTTCTTCTACTATATACGTTAGTTTATTTATAAATTTATATATACCACACAAATAACAATACTAAACATGTCACTTTATTAGCCTGTTCTCTATAAGTTTAACTTAAATTGCCACTAATATGTTAATAACCTTGACTAGAGATTTCAAAATGTTAATACTCAGGATGATTTTTAAAATAATAATTTATCATGTTGAATTCAGGCTTGCTTGATCTTGCAAATCCTATATAGAAAGTAAGTTCCGTGAGTTGAAGTTGAAGCATAGATGTTATGGAAATTTAGATAAATATCAACACATTTTATAATATTTTCAGAGAGCTTAATATTATTGCAACAACAAAGAAGGCTGTATTTGGAAATCGGGTTGGGATTTGAGTTAAAGCTTCAAAATATGTGAAAAAGCTTATACAACAAATCATCTTACAGATCGCCTACATTTACATTTACATGCAATGATAAAAGAATTCTCTCTAGGCCCCCTATGAGGATATTCTCTCCTATCAAAATAAATGCATTGAGTTCATAAATTCAGTAAGCCATGATGTTTTAAAAATATTTGGGTGATGTAAATTGCTCTTGTACACTGTAGGAGATGTACTTTTATTTATATTACTGACTTTACAGAGATTTTATTTGTACTACCGGCTTCTGCAATTACAATGGATTTCCAGAATTAATGAAGTGCCAGCATGAGCTCAGAAACTTTCTGTCACCCATTTCAGAACAGGTATACTAAGTGGTTGCCTTCACATCATATCTTAAAATTGCTTTAATACATAGACCATTTTAAAATCATGGTATCAGTTTAGAACATTTTCAGAAAGACTTTGCAAAGATTTCCATTTCCTCAAAAATACTTTTTTTTTTTCCAAGTATTCTTTCTTATATAATTTGGACGAAGCAAAGTCGCTTAGTGGAAAAGTAATATTTAAAAATAAATCCCCACTGGGCCCTGGAGCTGTCCCTTAGGAAAGCATTAGTAGGAAATGAATTAATGTTTCCCAGTTTTTAGCTTTATATTTTCTGTTTTAATATTGCTTAAATGTTACTGGCTATCTGCAATAGATTTAATATTCTATAATACTATATTTCATGTACTTTCCTAGGGGTTCTTTGTCTTGTTTTTCATTTACTACATCAGGCTATTATTTGGCCACATGTAAGAACTTGGACATTATTCTGTTGTCCAGTTTCAGCTGCCAAAATACTTTTGATCAATACAGCTCCCAGAAAAATTAGGCCATAAAAAGCAATGTGTTTAATAGGACTTTTTTTTTGTCATTACTGAAACTTTCATTTTGAGCACCGAAAACTATGGAAGGTCTCAGCTCTTTCTTACCCTTTAAGTAGCTTCAGTGTGCTTCTGCTTGACTATTAAGTACAAGCTGCATATGAACATTTAGTTCATCCTTGAAGAAACACATTGAGCTTGAAGTTATTTAATGCAACCATATAAATTTCTATGTAGGTGTTTCCAGTTGCAACCTGAAGTGTATAAAATAATGGGGCAGAGCTAACAGCTTGATTTAATGCCTTGCTCCAGAAACATCTCTGCCTCTAGCAAGAAAACTAAGTTAAAAAAAAAGAAAGAAAGAAAAGAGGAAAGAAAATTCTACAGCTGTATGAACACCTAGGAAAAGTATCAATTTCCTTTATAAAACTAAGTTTGGATAAATAAAATCTGCATACAATAATATTGTATTAGATTCTTTCTTAATAATAGTTAATGCAAAGTATTTGTTTGACAAGACTTATTCTTGCCTTTTGAGTAGATTATATATGCAAAACAAACCAGGTTTACTGGTACAGAACCAGAAGCCTAATCATTTTATTCTTAATTCATAAATTCACAGGAGTAGTTTAGAAGTGATGATGTGCAGGTTTCTTAGAGTTTATGTTGCAGATCTCAGTAACAAGACTGTAATTGATTTGATCTCTTTGCCTTTAAAATAAAGTAACTCACATAAAGCCTAGGTAGTAGATTTTTATTACATGCTTTTAAAATACATGCAACATAAGCACTGAAGGAATTCATTTCATTAATGCAAGTCAAAGCCTAAAGAGGTTTCAGAAAGCTAAGCAGAGGTAGGCTTCTCCCATCTCCCATGAAAAGAACATAGATCAAAGTCTCCTATAGCTCTCTTCAAGAAAATGTCTAGAATTCATTACACATACGATGTTTTTTTTTTGCACCAAACATCACTTAAGATGGAAGAACAGCACTTGGACTTGGAAAACTTTACTATAGAAAGCCGTTTTTCTAGAAATAAGTTGTTTTGCCTTTCCTTAGGGTCCAGGTCAGGGAGTATTTACCAACAGATAATAATAGGAGTTTCAACCGAGGCTAAGGATGCCACTACATTGAAGCAAACATCACTTAATGAGTTAATTATTAAACATTTTTTATTCTATGCTCAAGCAACATCCTAAATATATCTTTGTTGTTAATAGTCTATTCTTATTGTCAAAATTATTGTATAGTTTCACATGATGAATTGTCATATAATTTAATCAATGACTTACCAGTTTTTCCTTCCTTCCTTCCTTCCTTCCTTCCTTCCTTCCTTCCTTCCTTCCTCCCTCCCTCTCTCCTTCCTTCCTTCCTTCCTTCCTTCCTTCCTTCCTTTCTTTCTTTCTTTCTTTCTTTCTTTCTTTCTTTCTTTCTTTCTTTCTTTCTTTCTTTCTTTCTTTCTTTCTTTCTTTCTTTCTATCATTCTCTACATATTTTCTCAGATATCACCCAGAAATTAAAGTGAACTTCTCCAGGCATATACATCTGTGAAGCCATAACAGACTAAAAAAATCAATATTGAAATCTATATGGGCTTTTACTAAAGATTAAACTAAACATGTACTTAAAACATTTTAATGCAAACATAATTGTAAGTGCTTCTTGGTCAACAAAGAATTCTCAGTTTGACATAATAGTTCTTTCTGCAATTTCTGTTTTTTTTTTCTTTTTTAAACAGAGGTACAAGGTATATGAAATATGAAGGGCAGAAAGTATATAACTCAATGTGATATGCCATCACTTTCTAGATAATTCCGAACATTTTAAAAGGCTTTACTGTGCCCCTTTTCAGTCATAGGCCCCAGATATAACAACTATTTCTGACTTCTGACTTCTAGTATTATAGATCAGTTTTGCCTATTCTTTCATCCCTTAAAAATAGAATCATACAGAATAATCTTTGTGTTGGCTTTTTTCACTCATCAGTATGACTGACTTTCATGTACTATTTGCATTTAGCAGTAATTATTCTTTTTTGTTGATGCACAATGTTCAGTTATATGAGTATACCACAATTTATGCAACCATTCTACTGTTGTAGGCAACTGGATTATTTTCTGTTGGGACAAGCAGGAATAAAGTTATTATGAACATCCTTGCACATGTCTTTCAGTAGATGACTATATTCACTTCTTTTGAGTATTTTTAGGGTGAATTTTTGAGTCATAGGATAGGTGTATTTTTAAACTAAATGTTACTGAAAAGGTATCTGAAGTGGTAGTAAGTTCTTGATATATTTTTAAAAATTAGCATTGTAGATCTTCACTGTAAATGGTCATATATTAAGATCATACGTTAGCAATTGCCTGGATGTAGTAAAGTCTTTGCCATGCACCTTGTTTTTTTAAGGTTAAGTGTTTCATAATTACTAGTTAAGGGACTGATCAGGTACTATTAGGAGGAATATGATGCAGAGGATTGTGATTAATATATAGTTTCCTGGGATTATTTGGCTTTCAGACAGGGTCACACAGTTGACCATATTAAGGACAGGTGCCAAGGTCAGGAGACAATCAGAATGAACTCTGAGTGGAAGATTATGTGATTGCAAGTTACTGGACACTTAGAATTCTATGTGCTTTGAGCAGGAAGAATTCAGAGTAGGGGAATAAGTGGCCCCAGTGAAACTTTTCAGATGTCAAGGGCTAGCTCCATGCTCTCACAGAAAATGAGGAGGCAGCAAAAGTCTGCAGTGACAGTCAGCTGATGCTCTGACAAACTCGAGTCAAACAGAAAATCTGAGAAAGCATTAAATCAAAAAAAATTCACTTTGCATTCCCTTTTGGCTATTTATTACTATAGTGGACAAGTTTTGTAAGGGATTAACCAGATACATTTGTAGTAAATTTGATGTATTATGAAAAGGCATTCCAAGTTTTTTACAGGTAAGCTTTAATGACCTTCTATATCAAGGTGTTGTCATAAGAAAAAGAGGTTATATGTGATGTACCAAATTAATTCAATCATTTTAACAATGTAATGTTAGCTTTTTTACATTAGTAGTACTAAACCAATGTCCTTTACTAGTTCCTAAACAGCAAGTATTTTTTGCTAACTGTAGTTGGGTTTCCTATTGAGAATGAATTATTGTTCTGATGTGATTTGTAACAAAATCCAAATATTAGTCATTGACTGTGTCTTTCTCCTTGGCCTCTACTTAAGGCCACAGGCTGAGTGGTTTAAAAGATACCCACCTTACTTATAGAGAAATTCAGCAAATATTTATTGAATTCTTGCCACCTCTGTGAAAAGGTTTTGGAGTAAATAAAGTGATGAAATGTATTCCTTATGTTTTAATATATTATTTTGTTATGTGTTTTATATACTCTATCATTTCTAGTTCTTTTTAAATTAAAAAAATTATTTATCAAATTAACTGTCTTCAAAAATCTAGGTCAACTTTCTTGTAGAATGTCATGGCATTGTAAGTACTAAGAAATATGCAAGGTGATACTTTGAATCTCTGTGACTTTCCTGTTCCCAAGAAACTTTTTATTCAATAATTTTGATTCTCATTTATGAAGAAGTCCAGAATCATTTATGAGACCCATAAAGGATCATATACCTGCATAAACCTGAGCTGTTAACCAGTCTCAAGCTTAGCTAATAATTTCAAGGATATGATCACTTTAAAGCTATAGTGAAAGCAGAAAGAGGGTTAGCAACGTCCCCAGGCAAGTCTTTCTCATAATGGGCCTACTTCTAGCCCAAGAGTAGAGATGGATTAGAGATTAGTCATCTCACCTGGTGAGAGTGTTTAGATTTTAAAACATCTTAATTTTATATCCAGTTGGTTACTGAGATTCAATGACCTTTTCCAGGGAGTCATGCTTCAAGATTCCATAGATTCTAATTTTGTTTTGTTTGCCATCAGTAGTCCTACAGGGATATTCTCACAGGAGCATTCTGTTGAAAAGATTCTGTAGAATTTGACCAGTGGGAGACTACTCAAACTTGCACATGTCCTTTTGACATGACCTCATTTTTACTTGGGCACTTTTTTACTTTCCAGCAAAAGATGTCTTAAGCTTACCTTTTTTCTTTCCCAGCTTCAGACATAGAATCAAACATTTCTCCAAGGAACTCCCAGTC
Source organism: Homo sapiens (assembly GCF_000001405.40). NCBI lineage: Eukaryota > Metazoa > Chordata > Mammalia > Primates > Hominidae > Homo > Homo sapiens. The sequence continues at coordinate 118,696,670 of NC_000007.14, forward strand.
TTTTGAGCAGAACGATATGTGTACCAGATAGTACTAGATTACATTGCATATAAGCCCTACCAGTGAACAGAGATAAAAATCTGTATTTATATCTCTGTATCATAGCATGAGAACGTGCCAATATATCACAGTCAAATGTAATATTATAGGTTTTTCAGACATTTTAAATAATATGTTTATAGACGTATTTTCTTATTGTGAAAACTGTGTGTGATGGTTGATTTTGCGAGTCAATGTGAGTGAATTTAGGAATATTCTGATAGCTAATAAATCACTATTAATTCTAAATCATTACATTATCCTCAATGCTTCAGTGGCACTGAGCCCCATGCCTCTTCTGCTGAAAGGGAAACCCAGGTGTTTTGCTTTTGGTTAGAATGACTGGGTTGCCCTTGGTGTGTCTGTGAAACTGTCTCTAGAGGAAGTTGTCTTGTGAGTCAGTAGACTGAGTAGGAAAGATCCACCCTCAATGGGTGGACACCATTCAATCAACTAGGATTCCAGTAGAACAAAAAGTCAGTGGAAGGGGAAATTATTGCTCTGTCTTCTGGATCTGAGACATCTATCTTCTCCTGTTCTTGCATGTCAGAACTTCAGGTTCCCCAGCGTTTGGACTCCAGGTTTGCGCCAGCAGTCCCAGAGCTCTTGGGCCTTCAGCCTGAAACTGAATGTTACACCCTTAACTTCCCTGGTTCTAGGGCCTTGGATTGAGCCATGCTCCTGGTATCCCTAGATCTCCAGTTTGCATTAAACCTATGAAGCGACTTCTTTGTCTTCACAATCAAGTGAGCCAATTCTTCTAATAAATCTCTTCTCATATATATGTATATATCTCTCTCTCTGTATCTCCTATCAGTTTTCTCTCTCCAGAAAGTCTTGATAAAAACACAAGGTTTCCCAGTAACATAAATAAACAAATAAATAAATATTTATGAATATATATGTATTCCCTATCCCACTAAATGTAGTTTCAGAATTACAATAAGTAGTACTGTTAATAAATTTACTAAAAGTAAAATTAATTGCTTTATATTTATTTTTGTCCTTAGACTGTATTTATAAACTATATAGTTCAAGTTACTATGTTTAAAGTTTACTTAAATAATTCTTTTCTCTGTATAATTAGGTTGACACAGATTGATATACAGTTAGCTTTATTTTTATATATTTTTTTGTATTCATTTTTTACTAAGCAGGTCCTTTACCATTGCCCTTGAATGCATATCTACTATAATCTTAGGCCACTTTGCTTTCCATACAAGGTGGATGACCACATATTCTCCCAAAATATCTGCCCAGTGAGAGATTTTCCTGTGCCTGTTTTAAAAACCCATTCATAGGTGAGGTTATAGAATACCTGCCAACTATTTCAGCTTGTATCCACAGCCATGCTAACCTAGCCATAAACTCAGCATATGCATTTTCATCCTCTTTCATCTGGCTACAGGGTATGCTGCATTAAGGTATAGCCATGAGATAAGGGAAAGATATTTGTGCAAAGTTATGGGTACCAATAGTGTCCTGGACACCTTCCCATGCATCCATCTTATGCCTTCTGGTTTTGGTCATCCTCTGTTTCCCATGTAACTCTTCCATCTTATAATTTGTTGTTGGACACTTCCAGTATTATCACTTGATGAATATGACAGGACTCATCTCAGAAAGGCAAGTTTCATCTGCAAATTCTTGGTCTCACAATGAACCATAACATCTCTGCCATGGCCCAGTTAGCATGCCGGGAGCTATTTGTCAAAGGACAAATAATTCTATGCTGCAGAAGAAATGACCTTGCTCCAGAGACCAAAAGCTCTCTGTTATAATTCTGTCACTGACATTTGCTGCAAACTATAAATGGTATATGTTTTTCCATTAGTGATATCTCTAACAACATAGAGTCTTTTGCTTATGCCTTCTGCATGGCTTTCTGTCTCTGGGTTCTACTTAAAGATGGCAGGTTTCGGTTCATCTAGTAGCTAAAATAGTAGCCCTAGTAAAATGATGACATCAAAACTCAAAAACCACTGAATGTTTTCCTTGTTCTCTTTGGAAGGAGGTGCAAGTTGAAATAATTTGTGTTTTGTTTTTGCTAAGCATGTCATATAAAAGCCCCTTGCCACTAAAACCATAAAAATGTAGTAATTGTGGCAGGCCCTAAAACACACACGGTTATGTCTCACATCCTGAAGCACCTGAGCTCTATAGATGCCTTCAGCATGCAAGCCAACCTTAATCACTCAGGCTAAAAAATATGTCACTAATGAAAAACATCAATGTGATATTCTATAAGATGTCAGGAGTTTCCATATGCTTTTGGACAATATTATTATAGAAAGCAAGAGAGTTACCAAAACCCTGTGACAAAGTGTAAACTTATTTGATTGTCCATTTCATGTGAATGTGAACAGTTTCGGTTTTTCCTTGCTAATTAGGTTAGAAAAGAACAAATTAACCATTGCCATTTACCATGTACCTAAGACCACATTTACCTGCTTTTGCAAATATGTCACATCTGGCATGGCAGCTGAAATGTAAGCTGCTGCTTGGTTGAGTTGATGATAGTCTATAGTTATTCTCCATGAATCATCCAGTTTCTACAAAGGGCAAACGGATGAACTGAACATAGATATGACAGGGACCACACACCTACATTATTTTAGATTCCTAATGTTGGCACTAATCTCTACCACATCCCGTCCCTCCTGGCATATGCTGTTATTTTGATTTATTAGCCCAGTGAAGGGCAACTTCAGATGCCTCCAAATGGCCTTCTCTACTATGATCTTATCACATGCCACAGGCAGAATAACAGATTCCCAGCAATTTTCATGTCCTAATTCCTTGAACCTATGAATAGATTAAGTTACATGACAAAAGAAAATTAAGGTTGCAAATGGAACGAATAATGCCAATTAGTTGATCTTCACATAGGAACGTTATACAGAATTATATGGATGTATTAACTAAGGGTCCTTAAAAATGGAAGAAAGAAGGAGAAGAAAGAGAACCAGAGAGTCAGCAGTGTGAGAAGAACTTGGCTTCATGTTGCTGAGAATAAATATGCGGAAACTGGGCCATAAACCAAGCAGTGTTGGGAGGTCTCTAGGAACTGAAAAAAAAAAAAAAAAAGACTCTATCCCTGGAGCCTTCAGAAGGAATGCAGCCTTGCTGACACTTTGATTTTAGCCTAGTGAGTCCTATTTCAGATGTCTGACTCCAAAAGCTTAAGATAATAAATTTGCTTGTTTTTAAGTCACTAGGTTTGTGGTAAGTTGTCACATAAGTAATTGGAAAGTAGTAATAGATTTAGGGACCTGGAAATTGGGTACTGATATAATAAATACCTAAAAATGGGGAAATGATTTTAGAATTTGGGAATGGGAAAAGGCTACACAAATTTTGGCTGCCATTCACCCTTGTTGGTTGTTATAAACTCACCAATTATTGCAAAAATGCACACCTTCTCCTTAACCTCTAATAATTAAGAAACTCCACCTGGCCTCTGTTGTCTTTTTGATCCCATTATCCCTATTGCCTTCAGAAAGCCAAGCTCTGTAGCATCAGTCTTGTCATTACATGGATACAATTGAGTTACTTAAAAATGGTTCAATTCTTTTAAGATGTACTTTTAAGGTTTCATTATGCAGGACAAGCACAGCCTTTAATGTAGAGACAATTTTGCCCCTTTACCGAGACAATATTCTGCTGAGTAAGCCACCATCATCCTGGGACTTACAGGATCTTGTTGGCTCAGAGGAGCATGATGTATTTTCAGTCCAAACTGTTTCCAGCCCTGTGTAAATATTGGGACTTGTTCACTCATTTTCTTTTGGTTGATTCAATACCTCTGGAAGTTTCCTCACACATATGTGATATGCTGATAATTATTCAGCTAAAGGTAGGGGAGGGAAACTTTGTAGGTTTATGGAGCTTTCTCCCTCATTCTGCATCTCTCTCCTTTCTGCTTCTATGCCCTGTGAACATTTGCCATCTTGGCCTCCCTTGTCTTCCAGCTCTGTCTCCTCAATTTAGAGTGACTCCCAGACTCCAGCTGTACTGCCCATGCTTTTGCTACATTCTGGAAAATCTTTCCAAGCAAGTTGTTTATTTTTCCTCTCTCAAGGATAACAGCCCTTCCTGATGTTTAATGTGTAAAAATGATGGTTTCATATACTTTGCCATTTTTAAAAAAAAAATTGAGAGGGTAAATTTTATCCCTGCTTGTCATGTTATCCAGAAACTGAAATCAGCACCTTCATTCTTAAAATACTCTTCCTGATTTCCTGTGTAGGCTAGATATGATTATGGAAGTTAACATCATGAGTAAGCTCCCTGATCTGAATGAGGATGAGAACTATGGTGTAGTACCATGGCAGCACTTTACTGGCAAAGGCAAAATGGGTGACTTTACCATAAGTGGAAACAGGGACACATCAAGAGTCATAATGTTTTATCCACAGGGATTTTTGTCTGTGGATATTTGGTCACACTTTCTGCAGAAATTAAATAGGTTCAAAGCCTACAACAATATTGTTTGATCAATAAAAGAAAATTGTAAAGATCAGTTGGTCAAAATTCCGATGATCTTCTGCAGCAGAGATTCATGCAGTGTCTATACTTAAGTATACCAGAGTCATTTTATTAAAGCAAACCTGGGTTACTTGACTAATGACTCTATCACTGCTGCAAGTTAACTGACTAAATCTTCTTCCGATTCTTTTTAAAGAAATATGCACTCATATACTAGAATAAATGTGAGATGGTAAAATGAAGTAACTAGACTATTCAGGTATTACTAAACACTGATTCTGAATTGACGTTAATTTCTGGGGAACACAAAATGCCATCCCAGTTCACAATTCAAATGGTCAGCCTTTGTGTGTGAGGAGGTTTGTAGCCTAATCTCTACTCAATGGACACGGTTGTTCCACTCACTAATGGAATCGTTATTTCCCAGGTTCTTAAATATATTATTAAATAGATATTCTTTGCAAATGGCAAAATTTCTACATGGATCCTTAACTCCTATATTAAAGTCACTGTAGAAAGAGATCATTGGAATCACATAGAACTCCCACTCCATGCCAGGATAGTAAACCACAGCAATAATCCAACATAGAGAGCATTCTAGAGAGTGGTGCCCCACATCTAGGACTTAAAAAATGGTGTAGATATTGACACTTACCACATCCACATTTAGTTTGCCTGTGTGTCTATGCAGAAACTGGGAGAATTGTGCAGTAGGACATTGGATTTTTGTAAATTCCATCAAATGGCAACTTTGAATGCAGCTTCTGTTTTTAATGTAACATCTTTGTAGGAAGAAACCAACACACACCATGGCACCTAGTATGCTGTGGATATGACTCTTATATTTTCTTAATGATAATTTCAAAAGCCATGAGAACAATTTTTCTTTTCACTTAATAAGTCCAATAATACGCTTTCACAGCTTGGCATTTTATGTAATATCAAATCAGTTCACTACATGGATGACACAATGCTAAGTGGTTGTGATGACCAGAAACTAGTAAGTAATGTATTAAGGCATGTGAGTGAGAGATTTGTTGACACAGTCACAAAGTGCCAGGGGCCCACCATCACAGGGAAGTGTCTAAGGGCCAAATGGTTTACAGCATGTGAAGATAACCTCTGCACAGTAAACTAAAAGCTAGTGTACTTCATACCACTACAATAGAAAATGAGGCCAGGGCTGGGCACAGTGGCTCATGCCTGTTATCCCAGCACTTTGGGAGGCCGAGGCAGGCAGATCACCTCAGGTCGGGAATTCGAGACCAGCCTGACCAACATGGAGAAACCCCGACTCTAGTAAAAATACAAAATTAGCCGGGTGTGGTGGCCCATGCCTATAATACCAGCTACTCAGGAGGCTGAGGCAGGAGAATCGCTTGAACCCAGGAGGTGGAGGTTGCAGTGAGCTGAGATTGCGCCATTGCACACTCCAGCCTGGGCAAAAAGAGTGAAACTCTGTCTGAAAAAAAAAAAAAAGAAAGAAAGAAAGAAAGAAAGAAAGAAAATGAGGTACAACACTTAATAGAATTCTTAAAATTATTATTATATGTTATTTTATTTAATTTATTTTGGCAGCAACATATAAAACAGTTCACTGTGCTACTTCTGTCCACTGAGTCATTCAATAAAGCTGCAAGTACTGAGCAGTACCACAGAAAATGGAAATTCTACAACAAATCTAGACTATAGTATAAAACTTATTTCTATTTGAAACTTATGATTCAGCAAATCTAATAAACTGTCTGGGATGAATGGAATTTGGTATATGCCCACTTTCAAATACACACAAAAATAATTTTACACCTCTAGGGTTTTATAGCAACTCCTTGTCCTCTTACGCAAATAACTATTGTTTTGTAGAATAGCTTCTGTCTTGCTACTGGGTTTTGGTAGAGAATTTATGGTTAATCATGGAACATTGGTGATTAGACAAACTTAGATTCCTTTAACTGTTCAGCAAATCTGTGAAAAGGCATAATAATGAATTATCATCAAATAAAAAAATATATGTAAGAGACTGGAGTGCATGTAGGTATAGAAGTAGTTCAGACTCCTTTGACATTGACCCTTCCTTTATTGCTTACTCAGTTGGCCCCTAAAGTCTCATGGAGAATTTATTACAAATAGCTGATTAGGAAAAAAAATTTCTTATTTACAGTTGGTTCTACCTCAGACACTGGCATTTACAACCCAATAAGCGGGAGTACTAAAGTATTGTAGTAAAGCCAGTTCTGCCCAGTGGACAGAACCTTGAGTGATACATTGGAAAGGGGAATGATCAGAAGTATGGATATACTTTGATTTATGGGTAGTTTCTAATGGATTGGCTGGACAATCAGGTGGAAAAAATGACATATTTTATGGATATCAGCCAGCATCTTTCTCCAGAGACACTGGTTTATGTTGTGTGTACTCAACCCCATGAACAAAGTGGCCATTTTGGCAGAAATAGTGGTTATATGTAGACTCAACTAAGTGGACTTCCCCTTACCAAAGCTCATTCTGCTACTGCTAAAGCTGAGTGCCTAATTTAACAATAGTAGAGTTCCAGACTGCACTTTCTTTTTTTTTTTTTTTTTTTTTTTTTTTTTTTTTTTTTTTTTTTTTTGTTTTTGTTTTTTGAGACGGAGTCTCGCTCTGTCGCCCAGGCTGGAGTGCAGTGGCGGGATCTCGGCTCACTGCCAGCTCCGCCTCCCGGGTTCACGCCATTCTCCTGCCTCAGCCTCCCAAGTAGCTGGGACTACAGGCGCCCGCCACTACGCCCGGCTAATTTTTTGTATTTTTAGTAGAGACGGGGTTTCACCGTTTTAGCCGGGATGGTCTCGTTCTCCTGACCTCGTGATCCGCCCGCCTCGGCCTCCCAAAGTGCTGGGATTACAGGCGTGAGCCACCGCGCCCGGCCCCAGACTGCACTTTCAATATGTCACTATTCTGGTGGAATCAACTAAATATTTAATGATATGTTCATTTCATTGAATGCTTTCAATTGTACAGAAGGCAAAGTTTCATTCCCCTTAGGATAGACAACTATTCTGGGGGTAGATTTGCCTTCCTTGCCCATAATTCTGTCAAAATCCATATCTATACACTCACAAATGCCTTATCCACCATCATGGTATTCCACTCTGAATTTGTTCTAATCAAGGGACTCTTTTTATAGCAAAGGAAGTTCAGCAATAGGCTCATGCCCCTGGAATTGTTTAGTCTTACCACATATTCCAGTATCCAGAAGCAACTGGTCAAATTGAAATGTGGTTCTTCTCAACTACTTTTCTGAAGACTTATGGATTATTATATAAATATAATATGAAGAGTTATGGATTATTATATGAATATATAAAATTGTTCTTTATCTTTTCCTCTTATTTTATACAAGTTTATTGAAATTTAATATTTAGTATTTACCGCTAAATATAATTTAGTACTTAGATATCGAAATATTCAGTGGGATGGTGAAAGTGTAATTGATATAGCCACTGTTGGATACAAGAACTCTTGAGACTGTGTGTCTTTATCTTGGGGACAGGATGATAACTTCTTCACTTTTACAAAAGATAGCTGTACTTTTAGGTGGAAACGTAGACTTGAGTTATTCCATAAAAGTTGAAAGGTGTGTAGAAAGATGTGACTACATGCTGAACAACCAAAAAAGGTAGACTATTCCAGTTATTATTTATTGCCTTTGAACTCCATACCCATGTTGCTTTGTCTTATTTTTGTGATTATGGAACTGAGACTGTGCAAACTACATTTCTCCTCTGTTAGCTTGATGTTATGCTTTGCCAATTGAGGCTACCATGGGATACTGCATATGTCAAGGAAGATTAAGGAACTTTTCTTGAAGTTTTTATTTGTTTCAGTGTGATAGTGAGAGGTCATTTGTATCTACTGGTTCTGGAAGCATTGACCACAATGATGACAATCCCTGTGATTCTGATACTAATGTCCTCCAGACAGTTTCTTTACAATTACAGTGGCAGTGAGCCTCCATTCAGCAGTGGGCACACTCCAACAAAGTTCATCATCACTATATGTCTGGGCATTGTATTCTCATGGGAATCATACCCATTCATAAGTGGCTTGAATCTCAACCTTTCAGAAGCTTCTTTGTATTTCTTCCTCATTTACTTATTCTTTAGCCCGAGGTATAGGAACTACATTCTGAAGTTGTTCCATCTGCTGATTGTAGAGCGATTTCTTATCTGTTTTAGTAGTTACACAACTGTTGCATAGCTAAAAATTCTTTATATTAAATTTTTCCTATTCAATTTACTGATGTTTCTGTTTCCTAACTAAACCCTGACAGACAAAGATTTTAACTGGGTTACATCTATATCTTAAAATATCCAGTGGAACTATTTATCAGTATCTCTGGATCTCATTCTTGTAAGTACAGGGTAGTATTACAGGAACAGTAAGATAAAGAGCAAAGAAGAGAGTTGAAAATGTATTTCTTATCGTCACATACATGCAGAAAAGCACCTTCATCAACAAGACTCTAAAATCAAAGAATGCAGATCTTCAAAGGAGAGGATAAGTCATATATAAAAGAGAAAGAGGAATAATTGAGAGTCATACCTAGTGGGGGATAATTGGATCCAACTAGCTGAATATAAATCTTTACATAGATTTCCTGTCTCTTAATTAGAACTTATAAATAGATAAATATGTTTTTCAAAGGTATCTCTCTACATAAGTCATAAGTGCTTGTGGACATACTTTATAAAGTATGCGTGTGTATTTTCTTAAAGAGCCTTCAAATGGAGACTAAATTTGTGCAAATTTGTTCTTTTGTTGTCTAAACTACAAATACTAGTTGATGACACTTTTTACTGGGCATCAGTGGCCTACATGGAAAAGGAAGAACACCTGCCATGGTAGCTGAGTAGGTATAGAACTTTAATGCCCCTCAGTTTTTAAGAGACAAACAGTTTCTCTTCTCTTACATATACCAACTGCCACTCCATAACATAAAAATGAATATTAAGGACTTAAACATTAAAAAGGCACTGTAAGTCTCTCTACATACAGGTTCCATTTCACCCTGATTCTCAAGTATTTAAAATGCTGTCAGTGTTATTGGAAAATGAGCTGTGGTTTATAGCAATAATACTAACAGGTATTTCATGAGTATGTTTTATTTTCAATAATTGTACATAAAGTGATTCTTATCATGGTGAATAAAGCTTATCATTATGCTATATAATAAAAATGAGAAAATAAGTCTTCTGTGAAATCAAGAAAATGAAACATTTCTTGTTAACTGAATATGAACTTGAGGACACACCTAAAAATCTGAAAAATGTAAGAACTATATATAAATATTAAAGGTGGAGCCAGATGGTCATTCAGTTATATAGGTATTAACTTTAGATTTTAAATTTTCAAGAGGAAACAATTGTTGAGTATAAAACATTTTATTTGATTCTCCAAGTTATACCAATATAATTTAATGGAAATGGTCAGATACATCATTACTCTCTATCTATTTAATTTGATGGGGTATTCGATAACTTACTGAGTTTTTCCTTAAAAACTGCTTTTAAATACAGCTTATAATTCACTACTTTCATGCATATGAACAAAGTAAGGAGCTGTACATACCACGCATCCATCAGAGGACAGATCTTCAATTGTAGTAAGGAGTACTTGTCTTTCTTGCTGCTCTATTAAGCTTAGCTAAGTAAATGCTATTGAATAGAACTAGATTCCTTGGACTCTTCAGGCAGCCGTCTCTGTTACTATTGATTCTCTAAAAGTGCACTATTGATTCTCTAAAAGTACACTACAGTTTCTTTTGGGAATGTTAAGACAATGAGCTGAATTTTATATATATATATATATATATATATATATATATATATATTTGTTCTTTTGTTGTATATATATACATATATATATATACATATATATATATATATATATATATATATACATACATATATATATATATATAGAGAGAGAGAGAGAGAGTGCATGTAAAGTGATTATCTGGTTGTTGAACAAACTATTAACAAACCTGGAAAGAATACCTCCTTAAATTCCTTCAACGTAACAAATATTTACTGCCTGTTATTTGTTAAGTCCTATTCTATGCACTTTATGCTAGTTAAGAAGTTTTTCACTTAATCCTTACTTTCAAAGACTTATTTTTTAAAATTCATAATAAGTACTAGAAACACTGGAAATATCAGAAAGAGAAATATCAGCTTAATTAAGAGAACTGCAGAGAACGGATGAGATTTTTTCTCTAACACATTTCACATATACTATAAGCAAAATTTAAAAAGTGATGAGAGTTAATGTTAAAAACATAATACACCTGGATTAAATATGTACCATAATCAAGATGCCAGCTCTGGGATAATAGAAGGAAAATAAGTATATATTTCAAGACTTAAAGAACCTTCATAAATGAAGTTAAATTATGTGTAAATTTAATAGTAATGTCATGGAAATTTGAAAGTTGAATATTGTTTCCTTACACATGAAAAATAAAGGAGAGAAAATTTTCTTCTGCGGAAACAGTATGGCAATTATAAAAATAACATGAAATTTTAAGAGAAAGGCTGTTGAGAAACTACCTTTAGGAGCAGTTCAGTATGACGATGTAAAATGTATTAAATCTAGACTGTACCACACATGAATATTATATTTAGATGTTTAGACATTTTATGGGAAGATAAGTATAATTTTGTATTTTTCATGGGATTAAGAGTTTTTTTTTTGGAAAGACACTCTGGGAAAGGTAAGAAACAGGAGAAAGGTTTATATTTATTATCCATAAATTTGTTTTATTAACTATAACAAAGTAGTGTTTTCCACGGGGGAACCATAGTTAGATGACATTTTAAAAGTGCTATGAGAAAGATAAAAGTGAAAGGCTTTTTTTGGCCAAATATGAAGTCAAAAGTGTGAAAAAATAAAGCAAAAGAAATCGTGTAGTTGTGAAATAAGTCTGGAAAACAGTTACAAAGTTTCTCAGTGTAAGACATAAAAGAAGAGTGTAAAAATCCTTTTACACTCAGGATTTCTCAGTGTAAGACATAAAAGAAGAAGTATTTTAAAATCAAATATTAATTAATCTTCAGGAGTAGACTATACTATGAATGATTCCTAAAATTTTGAGAGTTATGTAACCCTTTTATCAATAAATAGCCCAGACACATGATTCAGAAGCATTACATATAAATTATTAATTTATATTACCTAAAATTGCCCAGAAATACATAAAGCAAAGTGAAATGAGGGTAATCCGAGGAAATAAATGAATATAGACTGAATGTCAAGTGGTACATTTACTCCACCTTTCGTTCTATTACTATTTAAGTGATGTTACGAGTGGCTATTTTAATTTTTAGATATGTCATAATTTCTTTTGTTTCTCAAACACTTTTAATGAATTTTTACACATGTAGTTACGTGATGCTTTTAGAACATGTTAGAATATATAGAAAAGCAACATTTCTAACACTTTGAATATAATTAATTTAAAATATTATACATTGATGTCATTGCACCTTCTCAACATGGCAGAGTACTCTGAAAATAATCTACTTAAATACATCCGAGAGCTTTTGAAGCAGCAGAACTAAGGGAGCCAAGATTCCAGTGAGGAAAGAACTTCAGAGATGTTAGCTGATGTCACTTTTTCCCTGAAGACATTTGCAAATTCACATAACAAGTTGTCTGTGAATTCAGAATTTTTCTGGGCTAAGAAACTGCTACTGTGAAACAGAGAAAAAAGTAGAGCTTTAGATAATTTCATGGGACAAGGGAACTGAGCCTGACATGCTGCCAGATTTTCCCTCAAGATATTTTCCAACTTTTGAAGCTACATAGTGCAAGGAGAAAATACAAACAAAACTCTGCAAATGCTCTCCAAAAAGATCAGACCTTTGGGAGGCCCACTGCACTAAGAAAAACAAAGGTTGTAAGTCAGGATATGTTAAAGTTAGGAGCCTTGTGAAAACTACCATTATACCCTATTATCTGGGACAAAAAAAGTTTGACAGAACTTTAACAAAAGTGCAATCCTGACCAACTAAAGTCTCCAGTTAGTCCCTAGTGTACCTGTCTAATAAAGAAATGGTAAACTTTCAAATGAGGAGGATTAAAATAATAAATATAAAATGCAGAGTATTCAAGTAAAAATAGGCATTCTTAGTACTATGGGACCAAAACACAAAAGTGAAAACCTACAACAGAAAAAGTCACCTTATAACGACTATGAGTTCCATGTTTAATAAAATAGAGAAGAAAAAAGAAAGTAAATAAAATAAGAGATAACTACAATAAAATAAAAATATATTTATGAGTCAAATGGTGATTTTATAACAAAACAAGCCTAAGAATGCAGTAAATAACTTTAACAATAGAATCTTTGATAGTAGATAAATAGAAACTCAAATCAATATAAAACATTCAAACTGAAACACTGAAAAGACCATAATAGGTATAGTGAAAAAATCTAATTTGGGTAATTGGAATCCCAAAAAGAAAAGAGGAGAATGGTACAGAAGCAATATTGAAAAGGATAATAAAAAATAATATATCATAATTAATATTTAAAAATTGACCAACTCATTTAAAAAGCTCCTTTTAATAAAATATATAAGCCAATAAAATATTGAAATAATCTAAAATGCTGAAAAATTTATCCTCACTCAAATTGAACTATATATTCAATGCAATCCAAATCATAATCCCAGTATATTTCTATAGAAATGAATAAGCTGATTTAAAATCTGTATGGAAATGCAAAGGAATTGAGAAAAAAAAACTTTGGAAGATTTATTCTACAAGATTTCTAGACTTCAAGATATAGTAATTGAGATACTGTGATGTTGGCTTAAGGAAGGAGAAATAGACCAATGGAACAGAACAAACATCCAGAAGGAGACACACCTACATTTGGTAGCTTTATTTATGACAAAAACTGAAATGCAACTCAGTAGAGAATGTTCTGTTCAGTACATAATCTAGAACACCTGGCTAGGTTTATCTAAGGCCTGGACACTATTGGTAAAACTCCTTTGAATCCAAAAGCCATAGTTAGGTTCTCCACCCAAATTTAGGTTTAAAGGAAGACGGTCAATGTAGGGCAATGAGTCCTTACCAGGTTACTTAAAGGTATATGTTTGCTGCTTGAACCCTGACGATCTGTTGGTTCACTCCTTCTTGTTAATTTATAAAATTCCAAAGAATATTTTCAGTATTTTTAAAAGTGAAAAAAATGGCTGTATAGTATTCCATGGTGTATATGTGCCACATTTTCTTAATCCAGTCTATTGTTGTTGGACATTTGGTTTGGACATGGATGAAGCTGGAAACCATCATTCTCAGCAAACTATCACAAGAACAAAAAACCAAACACTGCATGTTCTCAATCATAGGTGGGAATTGAACAATGAGAACACATGGACACAGGAAGGGGAACATCACACACTGGAGACTCTTGTGGGGTGGGGGAGGGGGGAGGGATAGTATTAGGAGATATACCTAATGCTAAATGACGAGTTAATGGGTGCAGCACACCAACATGGCACATGTATACATATGTAACAAACCTGCATGTTGTGCACATGTACCCTAAAACTTAAAGTATAATAATAATAAAATAAAATAAGTGAAAAAAATGTATAGCTATATTTAAGTTAAAATTAACATTAAGGGTTATAAGTATAAGATGGCCATCAAAAGTGTAACTGACTATATGTGTAATGGAAGAGTAATGGAATAAATGCCTATATAGTCATATTAAACATTTGACTTCCTTGAAAGCATTTGTAAATACATTGCTTACTTGGATGGAAATTTTAATATAAATTAATAAAATTATTAATAGTTAAATGCAGTTCACAGAAGAGAATCATGTTTTTCACAGCAGGTAAAGAATTGGCACATGCATTATTTTAAGAATGTCAATAAGCCAGCTAATTTTTACTAAAATACAAGGCCATGTAACCAAAATGGAGTTCATAATTTTGCAGTGAGGAAAAGAGAATTACTTAGATAAGACTATATTACTGTGTGGGGAATAGTGGTGTCTACTTCAGTTTGGAGTAAAATATTTTATATTAAGAAAAAAAACTTAATGGTTTAACTCACTTTTCATCAGTAATACTCTTAAAGTTTGCTATTACAATATTCCAGGAAATTACCATTAACTCTATTTATTTGAAGCCTCTGTCCTGTACATCAGGAGGATTTTTTTCTCAGAAAGATGTAGTTGCAATAGCATAGTAAATCTGAAAACAACAAAAGCAATTGCACTTTTTTGAAAAATAAAAAACATACACACACACATACACAAACTCACACACAACACACATAACACAAACTCATGGTTTTGAGCTTTGTTTGATGTGGAACTTTCCACCAAAAATAACATATTTCAAACAAATTAAAGACAGAGAGTATTTTGTGTTTATTTAACGTACCCAAAGTATACTGAACTTAAATAGTGATGATGTGTAAGAAAGTATCTTATTAATGTCATAAAAATATAGTTTTACCATAAAATTTAATGAACTTCATCTATATGTAAATCTATACACTTTTATGAATGAATGTCATGATAAAACATAGAATGAAAGAAGCCAGACATACTGAGAGTAATTTCTGTATGATTTGATTTACCAAAAGTTCATAAAGAGGCAAAACATAGATTAGCTTTAGAAGGCAGGGCAGCTGTTCACTTTGAGAAGCATAAAGTTTAGGAGGCAGCATGAAAGAGTCTTCTGGGCATTTGCCATATTCCATTATTTGATCTAGATTATAGTTACAGAGAAGCATTCACTTTGTGAAAATTTACTGGGGTATAAATATGTTTTATGATTTATTTTAGCTACAGTTTGGTTTCTAAACATTTACTGACAAAATACTTTAGCCTCATAAAGTGCACTTGACAGCTTTTTCTCTATTTTCTGGAACTACTTGTATCGCACCGGATTGGATTGAACTTTCTTTTTGTAGTTGATAGAACTCACCTGTAAAGCAATCTGGTATTGAGTTTTTGAGTAAAAACATGCCTTTCATATCATTTTCGTTTCTTCCAATAATCTACTACTACTATTAAAAGACCCAATAAAGTCTACTACATTTCTCTTTTTTTATATACAATCAGTAGCAAAACCATGTTAGAATTCTGTTCTCTTGCATTCCATCCTAGTGTTCTGAGCATTTCCCCAGGTCCCTCATGTACATAGTCACAAACAAGGAAAGAAGTAAAGAACAACAGCTTCAGCAATCCTACTGTTGTATGAAATTATAGTGTAAGGCACAATGGTATTTTTCTCCTGAAATAATTACTATAATACTACATAAATTCTTTCTAGTCATAGCCATGTTTGCCAGGAAATCTCTAAGAAGCCTCTGAATATCCTTTGCAATAAAACAAAATATAGTAACATGAATATCACATTAATTTTCAGTTTGCAAATAGCATAAAGCAAAACTATATTATCTTCATTACAGCACTTTATTTCTTTCCTTTTGCTTTAAACAAGCTCACTTGTCTATTTCATTGGGTCAGAACTTACTTTACTCACCTGTAAAAATCTTTAGTAAAATCAGTATCAACTATAGGTTTAGTAAGGAGCTGTTCTTAATGACAGTCAAGGAATTCACAGGGAAGGGAAAAGAAAAAAAAAATGACCCAGAAGAGGGAGGAACAGAAGGGGAATAAATCCATGTGCTGCAATTAATCAGAAATTCTAAACTTATTAAGAGATATGTCAATAACAGTTACGTATTCTTTTCAAAGATTTTGGAAGAAAGAAAATATTTTTTAAAGGTTAAAAACATAAATGAAATTTCTGTTAGACAAAGGAGACCAATGATTCCACAGGAAAAAAAAAAGAATTTAATCATTTTTATGTAGTATTTATATAGAGATTAAGTTCATTAAATTTGATGGTATAGGTATATTTTTATGACATTATTAAAATACTTTCTTACACGTCATTACTATTTAAGATCAGTATACTCTGGGCGGGTTAAATAAACACAAAATGCTCTCTGTCTTTAATCTGTTTGAAATATGTTATTTGTGGTGGAAAGTTCCACATCAAACAAAGCTCAAAACCTACCAGTTCGTTTTATCTGTGTCATGTGTGCTTGTGTGTGTGTGTATGTTTTCCATTTTTCAAAAGAAGTGTAATTGCTTTTGTTGTTTTCAGATTCATTGTGCACTATTGCATTTTCATCTTTCTGAGAAAAAACATCCTCCCGATATATAGGACAGAGGCTTCAAATAAACAGAATTAGTGGTAATTTCCTGGAATATTTTAATAGCAAACTTTATTTTATTTTTTTGCTGAAAAGTGAATTAAACCATGAAGTTTTCTTCTTACTATAAAATATTTCACTCCAAACTGAAGTAGGTACCACTATTCCCCACATAGTCTAAGTAATTTTCTTTTCCTCATGTGCAGAATTGTGAACTCCATTTTGGTTATATGGCTTTGTATTTTGGTAAAAATCAGCTGGCTTATTGACATTCTTAAAATAATGCATGTGCCAATTCTTTACCTGCTGTAAAAAGCATGATTTTCTCCTGTGAACTCTATTTAACTAAAAATAATTTTATTAATTTATATTAAAATTTCCACGAGAGAAAGCAATGTATTTATAAATGCCATGAAGGAAGTCAAATGTTCGATATGCCTGTACAGGCATCTACTCTATTACTCTTCCATTACACATATATTCCATTACACTTTTGATGGCCATGTTATACTTATAACCCTTAATGTTAATTTTAACTTAAATATAGCAAAAATATCTTTTCATTTTAAAGAAATACAGAGAATATTTTGGTCTCATTAAAATGACACTGTTTTGCACTAAAGAACATATCCATTGAAGCAAATTTGAAGTAATATATTTTGTATCCACACTAAGCAGATAACACAGTTTGTAATGTTATTTGGCAAGTGTCAGCAATCCTTGGTTAGCTCATTTATAATGATGTTAAATTGTTTTTTCAATGTAATAGAATGTGTTTTTAATCTATATTTGAGCTCCATCAACAATTGATTAAAATAATAAAATCCCTCATACAAGATGAGTTATAAATAGTCTTTGTTAAATTAAAGCACATAATAGTGAAGTATGGGACTGTTTTAATCAATAATCATGCTAAATCCTACAATTAATTAGAATAAATTAAATCATATTTAAACTAATTTGTGTTATAGTCAGAAAGGCTTGAATCACTCATCTAGCTCTGGCCCTAACTTGATATGGTATCACAGATATTAATAGTCTATGTCTTAGTTTCCTCACCTGTGAAATGAACATAATTATGAATTTTAAATCATAGGTTTGTTTTAAGGTTAATTATGATTACGTATGTTAAATGCTTGGCACAGCACTTAGCATATTGCAATTAAACAATAAATGTTTGCTATGGTTATAAATGGTTGTTATTATTTTAAGAAAATAAAAATATTTGAGTCACAAATTTTATGAAAAGTATTTATATTCATATATTAGAGGTGAATGCACAAATTCAGAGTTAGTGAAACTTTAGAGGTAGAAGCTGAGTTTTACATTACTTTTTCTTCAAATTGTATAAACATGAATTGAAAACTTTATTATTTTTTTACAGGGTCCAATAAATTTAAGAGAAATAAGAATTCTCAGCTGCAAACAGAGGATGCTTTTTGCAATTGTGTCAAAAAGAACAATTATAAAACATAAATCTAAGATAATATTTGAAAACTCTATATAAAATGATATTTTTGAGAAAAATGAAAAAGACTTTAACAAAAGAAAATATATGCCATATTCTGGGATTAGAAGACTTAATATTGTGCAGATGTCAATTCCCTCTAAACTGATCTATAAAGCCAATGCACTTCCAGCAAATTTCTGTGATGAATATTATGTGATGATGTGATTCCAGAATTTAGACAGTAAAAAGTGAAATACAGGTAAGAAAACATTTTTTCTTTTTTTTAAGGTAAGACTTAGCTATATTAAAGTGCACAAATTTTAGAATTATAGTTCAGTTTTAATAAGGATGTAGCTAAAATTTTTACATTTTTATATATGCATGCAATTACCTCTCATATCAAGGTTTATATTATTTCCAGTCCCAACATGCTCCCTCTCATACATTACCAGTAAGATATCCCTCCCTAGTCAACTCTCCTCACAAACATGATCACTATCACTACAGAGAGTTTTATTTAAATGAAGTTATGCAATACAGTTTTTTTGCCTCACTTTTTTTTTTTTTTTTTTTTCTGAGATGGAGTCTTACTCTGTTGCCCAGGCTGGAGCACAGTGGCAGGATCTCGGCCCGCTACAACTTCTGCCCCCTTGGTTCAAGCGATTCTCCTGCCTCAGCCTCCTGAGTAGCTGGGATTTCAGGTGCCTGCCACCACACCCAGCTAATTTTTGTATTTTTGATAGAGATGGGGTTTCACCATGTTGGTCAGGCTGGTCTCGAACTCCTGACCTCGTGACCCGCCTGCCTCAGCCTCCCAAAGCGCTGGGATTACAGTGTGAGGCACTGCATCCGGCCTTGCCTCACATTTTTTTAGTTAAAATTATTCCTGTAAGGATCATCCATGCTGGGTTTTGTAGAAGAGGTTTGGTCTTTTGCATTGTTCACTACAATCCGTTTGATATACTGTCATATTTTATACATACTACTGTTGCTAGACATCTGGATTGATTTAGGTTTTGTTGTTATAAATAGTGCTCTTATAAACATTGTCTTACTTTTTTTTCTTGTTCATAAACACTAATTTTCATTGAATATATACCTAGAATGGAATTTTGGGATTATAGGCTAAGTGAAAAAAAGTAACCACACCAAGTATCCAGAGAGGATGTAAACCAACTCAAACACATATATTGCTTGTACCACTGTAAATTGAAACAACTACTTCGGAAAACTTTTTGTTAATATATACTGAAGCTGACCTTTATTGACAAAAGCTTTTCCCAAGTAGTTGTTCCAATTTACAGTGGTACAAGCAATATATGTGTTTCAGTTGATCTATAGATACCTTTGCTTGATTCTTGGTGTGGTCAGTTTCTTTATTTTAACTATTCTGGTGGATGTGTGGTAGGATTTTTGCATGTTTGTGGATTTGGCTTGCACTCCTGTCATGACTAGTGATGTTGGTTTTTTCATCATATGATTTTGGTGTATTTGTGAGGTAACTGTTCAACTTTTCAAGTTTAATTTCTAAATACTTTTTTAAAGTTAGTACTGTATGAATTCCCTTTGCCTTGTCTACCCTAAGATTGTAAACATGTTTCTTATGTTTTTATCTATATATTTTTAAAATTTACCTTTATCCTTATAATCTTTTGTTGTTGTAATTTTTGATATGGAGTCTCACTCTATCGCTCAGGCTGGAGTGCAGTGGCACGATCTCGGCTCACTGCGACCTCCGCCTCCTGGGTTCAAGCAATTCTTGTGCCTCAGCCTCCCAAGTAGCTGGGATTACAGGTGCACACCACCATGCCCAGCTAATTTTTTTGTATTTTTAGTTGAGATGGGGTTTCACCACGTTGGCCAGGCTGCTCTTCATCTCCTGGCCTCAAGTGATCCACCAGCCTCAGCCTCCCAAAGTGCTGGGGTTACAGGCGTGAGCCACCGTACCTGGCCTTATTTACCTGCTTGAAGTTATTTTGGTTTGGTGTGAGATAATTGTTAAAATTACATTTTTCCTTATGACTATATAGTTGAGCCCAGACTTTTAAATTTAAGACCATCATATCAACCACTAAATTGTACTGATGCTCTCAACATAAATCATGTGACTTTACATCCATTGGTCTATTTCCTGACACTCTCTACTGTTTTGTTGGTTTATTTTGCTATTTTTATAATAATATACTGCAAGTATCTCTAGAAAAAGATGAGATAAACTAATAAGATAAAATATGTATTAAAGCTACAGTAATTGAGAGTAAACTGATATGTGATATATTTCTTGCATTGAGTGACATGGTTGACAATTTTATTTTATTAAAGTCACATTTATGTTTCGTGCACTTTTCTGATTTTACATTTTTCAGTAAAAAACAAAGTACAACAAACAAACAAAAAAGATCCATGGAGTTGAGTCAGACAAGTAATCAGATTCTTAAAATCCAATAGAATGAGTTCTCCAACGCACACAACAAAATGTTGTTCATCAGGTAAACTAAATAACAAGACAATACAAAAACAATTGTTTGAAATTTTGTGGTTATGCATATTTAAATTTCATACTATTTTAATGTGAATGAATGAGTACAGAGGGCAATGTACATACAGGTTTTGAATCACCAGTCTGGCCTTTACACTCTACATGAGATTTTCTATGGATGGTGTTAAACTTGCCTAACAATAACAAGAAAGTTACAGCCACATGGGTAATATTTAAGTTACAAACATTTTTAGAAATTAACATAGATTGTGTGAGAGCAAGGTATGTTTTTGTGTTTGTTGTGCATTTTATTGCACATTGGTAGAAAATGCTATTAATTTTACAGATCAGGACAACATTATGAGTAAATTTTAAATTTAAACCCATAATGTAGTAACAGTAATAGGTAATATCACAATATTCTGTCTAAAAGATTCACTACTATTTTAACAGAATACCGTAGGAGAGCAAAGGAAAGGCTGATGCCTTGGAAAAATCTGGAAGGAATTCACAGAGGAAGTAAGCTTTGAGCTGGATTGAAATACATGGCATTGCTTGGGAGAAAATGAGAAAACCAAGGAAATATTCGCTGTAAAGTATTGAGACGTGAAAGAGTGGCAAGCTGGGCAAGCTGGCACATGGAATGGGTGGATCATTAGTAGAAAATGCCATTAATGTAACAGGTCAGGACCAGAGTGGGGAAAGCCTCTTTCACACATAGATACATCATGTTCTTCATTTATTCTGCAGTAGCACAGGTGTTTGTCCCAGCCTTCAGTTCTCTAATCATTCAGCCATTACTGAGCACCTGCTATGCATCAGGAAACTAACTATTTTCATGTTTCTACATGGTCAAAGCTTTCTGAGCAAAAAATACTGGCAACCTGACTTAAAGGATAAACGAATGACAAACAAGCCTTGGAAGTGAAAGACAGTAAAATATTCCAGGCAGATTTAAAGATTAATCTTCCCTGGAGCCATTTGTTCACATTTCAAAGGATGACACTACTAGTACCAATCATCATCATCCCAGTTTCATTTGCTTGCATTAGAAGGTGCTGTAACATCCTAAAGAACTTCCTCCTATCTTTCCAGAAGTAATGTGACTATGTTATAGAGAAAAAATTTCTCTCCCTCTCTTAAAAGAAGAGGGACATTATGAACCATTCCTCTGAAAGCTCTGAAGTTCATAATTTCAGTGCTTCTCTCCTGTAGTACTAACTCTACCTGTACATGGAGGTTGACATCTGCCTTGATATGTCACTTGGTGGAGAAATGGAACTTGGGGAAACAATGCCAAAACATTTTTGTGAATAAATAGTCTGCCACTGATTCAGAAACCTTGTGATTGCTGTCAAGATAAAATAAGTAAATAAAGGTACTAAAAGCCTATCACTATGTGCCAGGGACAGTTATAATTCTATGTTTAATATCTTAAAGAAAATAAATTTTCAACCTCCCCAAAATTCCTATGCTAACTTAAATATTTTTTTTTAATTTTACTATAGCTCATGCCCTCAAGACATCTTCCAAAAGAACCAGAACAGGGTCAAGTGTTATACACAGGCCATCTTATTTATTTCCTATAAGAACCTATAAGCCTCAACTTAAAAATAAAACTGAGAAAAAAAGGAAATAAGAAATAAATAATAGAAACTGAGAAAAGTAAAAAAAATTGTCAATATAGTGGACTTGAAATAACACACAAGTATCTCTGATTATGGTTCACTGTACGTCACTATATTCTTCAAGTAGATTTGAATGAAGGAAGTAATGAATGATTTATGTTTATGTGCCTCTTGTGAATTAAAGTGCACACTTAGACAAATAGATAACTGAAAGAAATAAAACAGCATTTTCTCAGAAAAATTAACTCAGACTTTTTCTGCTTGACAAATTAATCATCTTTTACTCTATTTCTAAACAGGCCAATTATGTCTCTGAAAATGGCTGCTCCATACCTAATTCTAAATAATAAACAGAGTGTCTTATACATTAATAAATTGACCTAGGTAATAATTATCATCTTTTTCTTTATCGTCATCATTGATATCATCAGGACCACTTACAATATACCAGGTAGATGATAGTCTATTTAATCCTATAATTAATTTTTAAGATAGATGGCATAATTTTCCTTCTTTTACAAATAAAGAAGAAATTGAGGCACAGAGAATTTGAATGACTTCCTAAGGTCACAAAGCTAGTAAATGACAGAAACCTGATCCCAGTTCAAGTAGTTTGGCTCCAGACCCCATGGTCATAAGCTCTGTTGGCTATTGTCTCTCCATAAGATGTACAGTGTTTCAAATAATCTCATTTTCTGTGAGCTGTATTTTTACTTTGGGAAATATAATTTATTTATGACATCTCTCATATTTGTATTACCTATTAAATGATTAATCATCTCTATGTTGAATATTCTACTTTAGATGGCCAAGGATTGCTTAAGTGAAAACTGGCCAAAATTATATTCCAAGAATGCCTCCTATAATTTCTATTAGATGTGAAAACTAGCAAATTTCCTTTAGATGTCATGCCTATGGCATGGCAGGTGTACTTTATATAATCATGTTCCATGAAATAAACATCTGACTGACTCATTTTTGTTTTGCAGGCTCAGCTGTTGCAGAGAAGTAATGATTCACACGAAAATTTAAAATGGAAAGATTGTCCTCTCCAATCGGCCCCACTTCATAATTCCCAACTCAACAAAGATTGCATTTTAGAAACATGCAACTGTGCAGATGTTTAAAATGAAGGCCATAAGCTCTAAAATCATTGCCATTTTATTTAAATATCAAACAGCTCAAAATTTGTCTGTGACAAAAATAATTTAAATGTTTTGGTAAAAATATAAAATATTAAGCATTCGGTTTTCCACTTTTGGAAACTGAGAGAGAAGTTATGGAAGCTGAATATTGGTCATGAAAGAGACTGTCATATAAAAGATATGTTATACCCATCTCTAAGACTTTTAGATATTGTAGTAGAATTAATGAAAATTATTCCAGAGCAGAGAATATACAGTACAGTGTCAGTAATTATGCATGCTGCTACTTCAGTATACTACTTATCCATTCCCCTGTTGAAAATACTTCAGTATTTTACTTATCCATTCCCCTGTTGAAGAACAAAATAAACAGGTTATATTTTTGTAAAGACATATTGGATATAGTAGAAGAAAAGAGACAGATAGCAGAGAAGGATATTCATGAACATGGATCAACAGGCAGATCCAGTTCATACATGGGAAAACACCATCAAGTTGTGGCCAGATTACCAAAAAATAAAATAAAATTGCCAAAAAAAGTACGACTCGTGAAGTTGTGATTCTCAAAATGTTTCATTCTATCTATTTCTGTAGAGAAACAACAAATTAATTGGTTTTAAAAAAAGAAATGGACTCTATAGTTTAAGCAGTTTCAGGTTCACAGCAAACTTGAACAGAAAGTACAGAGGATCCCCATGTACACCCTTCACACCCATAGTCAACCTGCCCAACCATCAACATCCCATACCATCGTGGTACATTGGTTATGGTGGCTGAAACAAAAGTAACACCTGATTATCAACCAAAGTCAATAGTTAAAAAGTGGGGTTCACTCCGTATGTTTTACATTCCAGGAATTTTGACAAATGTTTAATTCATGTATTCACCATTATAGTATCATACAAAATAGTTTCGTTGCCCTAAAATTCCCTCGTGCACCACGTATTCATCCCACTGTCTCCCCAAATCCCTTTCAACTATTGATTTTTTTAACTGTCTCAATCGTTTTGTCTTTTCCAGAATGTCATACAGTATGTAGACAGGATCACACAGTATGTAGCCTTCTAAAATATGTTTCTTTCACTTAATAATATGCATTTAAGATTGTACCTTACCTTTTTGTGGCTTCATAGCTCATTTCTTTTTAGAACTGAATGATAGTTCATTGTATAGATGTATCACAGTTTACTTACCCATTCTCCTGTTGAAGAACAATAAAAATTGCTTCCAAGATTTGTCAATTATGAATAAGCCCACTATAAACATCCATGTGAAAGGTATTGCATTGATAGAAGTTTTCAACTTATCTAGTTAAATATCAAGGAATGCAATTGTTGGATCATAAGGTAAGACTATGTTTAATTTTATAAAAAACTGCCAAACTGTCTAACAAAGTGGCTGTATAATTTTGCATTCTGCCTAGCAAAGAATGAGAGTTCCTATTGCTCCGCATCTTTATTAGCATTTGGTGTTGTCAGTGTTTTGGATTTTAGTCATTCCAATAGGTAAGTATTGGTGTCTTATTATATTAATTTCCATTTCCTTAATAAAGTATTTCTTAGTTCTTTGGGTTGCTATAACAACACCAACAACTCCATAGACTATATGGCTTCAACAATAAGCATTTATTTCTCACAGTTTTGAAGGTTGGAAAGTCTGAGATCAATGCACCTAAAGATCTGGTGTCTCATGGGGACCGAGTTCTTTGTTTATGGATGGCTGTCTTATCTCTGTGTCCTCACATGGCAGAAGGAGTAAAAAGCTCTTTCATTTTTATTAGGGCACTAATCTCATGAATGTGGACTCCACCCTCGTGACCTAATAATTTGCCATATGCCTCACCTCCTATTACTGTGCATTGGGGGTTAGGATTTCAAAATATGAAGTATGGGGACACAAACATTCAGTCTATACTAGAGTATGTTGTTGATCATTATTTCATATACTTAATTGCCATCTGTGTATATTCTTTGGTGAGGTGTGTGTTAATATCTTTTGTCCATTCATAAATTGGGTTTGTTTTCTCATTGTTGAGTTTAGGTATTTGTATTAATGAATTTTGGATAATAGTCATTTATTAGATGTATCCTTTGAAAATATTTTCTCACAATCTGTGAAATCTGTTAATTGTCTTCTCATTCTCTTCACGGTGTCTTCGCAGAGCAGGAGATTTTAATTTTACTGAAGCCCAACTCATCAATTCTTTCTTTCATAGATTGTGCCCTCAGTATATATCTAAAAAGCCATTGCCAAACCCAAAGGTATCTAGATATTTTACTATGTTATGCCCAGTTGTCCCAGCATCAATTTTTGGAGACTACTTTTCTATCTCTTCTCCATTGTATTGCCTTTGTTTCTTTGTCAAAGATCAGTTGACTGGATTTGTGTGGCCCTATTTCTGGAGTAATTTAGTTCCATTGAGTTATTTGTCTTGTCTCATGCCAATATCACATTGCTTTTATTACTTTAGTTTTATAGTAAGACTTGAAGTTGGTTAGTGTCAGTCTTCTATTGTTGTTCTTCATCTTCAATATTGTTTTGTTTGTTCTGGATCTTTTGCATCTCCATATAAACTTTAGAATCACTTTCTTTTTTATATCTGAGGATAGCTTGCTAGGATATTGATTGAGATTGTATTGAATCCACAAATCACATTGGGAAGAACTGCCATCTTGACAATATTGAGTTTTCTTACCCATCAACGTGGAATATCTCTTCATATATTTAGTTATTTGATTTCTTTTATCAGTATTTGTACTTTTCTTTGTATAAATTTAAAATGTATTTTGGTAGATTTATACCTAGATTTTCCTTTTATGGTGGTATTATATATGGTATTGTCTTTTTAATTTCAAATTTCAATTGTTTATTGCTGATATATTAAATAAATTGTTTCTTTTATAGCAACCTTGCAACAATTGCTAATTAGTTACAGGATATTTTGTCAATTCTTTGGAATTTTCTATGTAGACAATCATTTCATGTGAAAATAAGAACAGATTCATTGCTTTGTTCCTAATTTGTATGCCTCTTACTTTCTTGTCTTATTTCCTTGTGTTAGCTAGGATTTCCAGTAAGATCTTGAAAATGAGTGGTGAAAGGGGATGTTCCTGAATTTTTTCTGATCTTAGCAGGAAAGTATCCAGTTTCTCATTTTTGAGTATGATATTAGCCTTAGATTTCTTACAGCTATTCTTTACCAAATTAAAGACATTCTCTTTCATTCATAGTTTGTACAAAGGTTTTATCATGAAAGGGTGTTTGATTTTTTCAAATATTTTTTCTGAATTTATTGATTTAATCTT
This sequence comes from Homo sapiens, assembly GCF_000001405.40. Classification (NCBI taxonomy): domain Eukaryota; kingdom Metazoa; phylum Chordata; class Mammalia; order Primates; family Hominidae; genus Homo; species Homo sapiens. The sequence goes on from NC_000007.14 coordinate 118,723,438, forward strand.
ATAATTTTTTCCCTTAACCTATTGATATGCTTTTTATGTTAATTAACTTGTGGATGTCAGACTAACCATGCATACCTGGAATAAATCCATTTGATCATAATTTATAATTCTGTTTATACATTGTTGATTTGATTTGCTAAATTTTTGAGAATTTTTGCTTATATGTTTATGAAAAATATTGGTCTGTGGTTTTTTTTCTTTTACTCAAAATATCTTTGTCTTGTATCAAGTATATGTCTGAAAAATCCAGGGAGATATTGACTTGGAGTTATAAATTTGTGAGTATGCCCTTCAAAGCATGTTAATGTCCAGGAAGAGAATATATAATGAAAGGAACTCCAAAAGTTACTGGCTGGATACGGGAAGGTAACAGTACAAGGGAGATGGTGAGTCAACTACAAAGAAAAGAGAAAAATTAGGGTAAATTTCATCTCTTATAGTAAGTTAGGGAATGTTTCCACAGCTCCTATCTTCTGGAAAAGATTGTAACAAATTGGTATATCTTCCTGAAATGTTTGATGGAATTCACCAGTGAATCCTTCTGGGCCAAACCAATTGCTTTCTCTTCCATATTTGAGTAGCTCCTCTTTACCATTAGATGAAATCCTATTTCAATTAACAGGTAAGTAGCACTGCTTTAAAGAGTTCACTATTTAGCTATTTTAATGTAAATTACTCTTCCAAGTCACAAAAAAAATTTAGAAAATGTATAAATACCATCTTTACTACTTGTGAAAAACATTAAAATCCCCTGATAGACGGCAAGTATTGCATAAGAAGGCATTTAAACATTTCTGTGGGAAACTCTGCTGGCCAAAAGGACGAGAAACACAAAGCTATCTATGTCCTTCGGATAATTCTTGCATCCAAATAAAAGAGTTTTGGTAATGCAGCATATTATCCAATTTTAAAATGTAATCTAGTTATATTATTATCAATTTCATAATTACAGAGAATACTCTTATAACTTGGCACCAGTAGTAATGTCATTAGATTGTTTATTATACAAAACTCACTTTCAAGTCTCATCTCCAAGGTAGCAATTATAATCCTGAAACTCTCAATGACTATTGACCTCATATCTTCCATTTGCCTATAACCTGTATCTGTCATTTATACTTCCTGGGGGACAGCAATGAGAGTCTTGCAGGTATTTCACTCAAAATACATCAACCTGAGGCGACTGCAATATTCACATTAAGAACAACATCTTAGCAAAAATCTAATAGAATGTAGTGTCTATCACATAACATCATCATATATATGTTATGTATATAGATATATGTATACAAAATGTTTATGTATTATGTATAACATATGTTTACATTTTCGTGCATGGGTGTATGTATAAATAGATTAGAAACTCTTCTTTTAAGAATTATTTTTCCATGTGTTTTTTGGCTGCATAAATGTCTTCTTTTGAGAAGTATCTGTTCATGTCCTTCGCCCACTTTTTGATGGGGTTGTTTTTTTCTTGTAAATTTGTTTGAGTTCATTGTAGATTCTGGATATTAGCCCTTTGTCAGATAAGTAGGTTGCGAAAATTTTCTCCCATTTTGTAGGTTGCCTGTCCACTCTGATGGTAGTTTCTTTTGCTGTGCAGAAGCTCTTTAGTTTAATTAGATCCCATTTGTCAATTTTGTCTTTTGTTGCCATTGCTTTTGGTGTTTTAGACATGAAGTCCTTGCCCATGCCTATGTCCTGAATGGTAATGCCTAGGTTTTCTTCTAGGGTTTTTATGGTTTTAGGTCAAACGTTTAAGTCTTTAATCCATCTTGAATTGATTTTTGTATAAGGTGTAAGGAAGGGAGTTCATGTCCTTTGTAGGGACATGGATGAAATTGGAAACCATCATTCTCAGTAAACTATCGCAAGAACAAAAAACCAAACACCGCATATTCTCACTCATAGGTGAGAATTGAACAATGAGATCACATGGACACAGGAAGGGGAACATCACACTCTTGGGACTGTTATGGGGTGGGGGGAAGGGGGAGGGATAGCATTAGGAGATATACCTAATGCTAGATGACGAGTTAGTGGGTGCAGCACACCAGCATGGCACATGTATACGTATGTAACTAACCTGCACAATGTGCACATCTACCCTAAAACTTAAATTATAATAATAAAAATAAATAAATAAATAAATAAATAAATAAAAAGAATTATTTTTCCTCCTCTCAATGTAAAACATTGCACAATATGAAAGTAGATATAACCAGAACATCAGATATTTTTGGACGTTATAGGCAGCCCATCTGTTCCCAAATCCATAATGAACTTTGGACAAGTCAAGTGGGATTGATGAAAACTTGCCCAGTTTGTTTCCAGAGTTCAGAATAGGTCGGTATAGCCAAGTGAAATCAATGGATGGCACAGTTTTCTAATGGTCTTGAACTGTTTTTAGGGGCAATGATTTTTCACACAGACACTAAACAATTTTTCAGGCAATTAAAAATAGCCTCCATTTTTAATTAAACAAATTTGGCTTCAGAACACTAAAATTAGTATGGTAAATAATTTAGAAAGCTGAAATTTCTTCTAACTTGATTGTCATTACATGCTACAAAATATCTCCTGGGCCACATAGAGATTTGTTTCAAGAATGTTTTCTAACTTTGATTCTGAAGACCTCATGGAAGGCCCCGTTGACCAAGACTCATCCATCACAGGGAAAAGTAAAAGTAAATAGGAAATTGATTTTCCACTCTTAGTAAGAAATAGTAGTGATGATTAAGATAGAATGGTAGGCTTTCAGATGGGTAAAAAACCTTATTTTTATTCCTGCAAAGATAATTTGCATTTTATTCTGGAAATGCATTTAAATGAAGTCTTTTTTATGAAATGAATATTTTTCACAATGCATCTATCTCTTCAACTGTCTTTTTGAAAGTTTTTTAAAATTACGGTCAGAGAGCTTTGCCTATTTTCTTGTAATTCATAAAACAGTTTCATTGTGTGAAAATTCTAATATTTAAAAAACACAAAAAATTACAGAATTTTTTTATTCTATTGCAACATAAAAACAAAACTATAGTTAGTCAAGAGATTCCTATTCTAATTTCAGCCCTGTCAATTCCTTGTTTTGTGGGTTTGTCCAAGTCCTTAACTTGTCCTAGCACCAGGTCTGTCGTCTGCCCAGTGAAGGAATTCAACTCATCTTTAAAGTTTCCTTTTCAGCTTTGTCGTTCTATGCACTAATTTCCAAAGCTTATTTGTCAGAAATGTAGTCCTGTAGGCTATTTGACCTCAAAGTGAGGGTTTCATGATTAACTGCATTTGGAAATCTCACACTTCATTCATTTAATGTACATTTACGTAACACTCTATTGTGTGACCTAAGACTACCTTGGAGAGTCAACTGATATGTCTCTTCAAGGGAATTCATGAAGCAATTATGAAGGTAAGTGTTTAAAACAGCAATTGTAAAATATCATACCGACAAAAGGTACTTAACATTATAAGGTTCTTATTAACCTGAGAAGTCAACAAAAGAAGTGACAACTGAAAGGAGATTAAATGGATGTGTAGTATTTAACTACCAAAAGCAGGAACAAAGTTATCTCTAGTGAATAAAAAACATAAGCACTGTCCAGTGACAGAAAGCAGACCTATACGGCAAAGGCAAAGAAAGCATGTTAGACTGTAGGATTGAAGAAAAACCAGGCTTTCAAAGCCTATGAGTCAATTAAAGATTGTGCTGTTGGTGAAGAAGGAAAGCCATTCAACAAATATTTAGAAGAGGAATAAAATGATTCTATTCTTGTGTTAAGAATAGCCTGGGTGCAGAGAAAAGACTAGAACTAAACTAGAGATATCCTGAATAAACTAGACTTAAGAGAACAAGGTCACAAATGTTCTGAGGTTGACCTGTTCTTTTAGTGATGGAGATGGAATAGATTCATTACACACTTAGGTAATAGAATAAATGCAGAGAAAAGCAGGTAGAGAATAATGAGGAAGCATCTTAGGTCTCTCTCCTTGCGTATCTGACTGAGGAAGAGTAAGCTCACTGTGATAGGAGATCTGGCAAAATGCTTGACACGAGTTATCTATTGTGCTGATTACATAACTTTATTACATAGACTTAGTGGCTAAAAACAAGACACATATTATTTCAGTTTTTGTGTCAATAATCTGGTCATGATGTAGCTGGGTCCTCTGCTTTAGAAGCTCAAAAAGTTCCAGTAAAAGTTTTGGCTGGGGCTTCAGTATCATCCAAACCTTGGTTACAAAATAATTAACCTTTTAGCTCAGTGGCTGTTAGTGGTATTCAATTTCTCAATAGCTATCTATTGTGGGCCTCAGTTTCCTATTGGCTATCAGCTAGAGGTGAGGCTCAGTTCCTTCCCATAATGGCTGCTTACTTCCAAAAATCAGCAAGGGAAAGATAATTTACTAACAAGATGGGTACTACATCTCACCTGACATAAACATGGACACATGATCATGTACATTATGTAACTCATATTTTGTTCTGTTGTTTAGAAGGAAACTCCAGCCATATTCAACTGGGAAAATAACACAGAAGGGCATGAACATTAGGAAACAAGAATCAGAGTGTCAATCTAGAGTCTCTCCACTACACTTGATGTAGGGGAAGAAGATGATGAGATCAGGTTCGATTGTATCAAAAAATCCTATATATGTCTGAAAAGTTTAGGGGACTATAGACTTGGAGTTATAAATTTGTGAGTACTCCCCCTAAAGAGTACTCACTAAAGAGCCCAGGAAGAGAATATATAATGAAGAGAGAAGGAGGCTCATAAACAAAGCTAGAGGAACTCTCACAGTTACTGGCTAGATAAGGGAAGGTAATTCGACAAGCGAGTTGGGGAGCCAGGCACAAAGAAAGAAGGGAAAATACTGTGGTCTAGAAGCCACTTGAAAGAGAACTCAAAGAAAAAAGCGATGGACAGGTTTTCTTCACCTTTTGAATGTAAGCAAAAATAAAAATGAAGAATTTAAAAAATAATTTATCAAATTTAAACACAAAATTTATCAAAATAAGCAGGATACGATAACTGGTAGATTACACAAAACACAAGTTAGAGCTGAAAAAACATCTATGATCTGCCTTAGGTCATATGGATGAACAAAAATAAGAAGCATCAAAAGATTTGGAAGAGTATAATTATAAAGAAAGTTACGGAATTGTCAGGGCAAAAGTTAGAAATTAATAATAACTATTATTTACAATGAAACCTTAAAAATAATATGCCATGACTAATTAAAATCTATACAAGGAGCCACAAAAAATTTGAATTCCAGGAATTTATTAATATAGCTCTCCATATTACTATATATCTAACTGGGGAATCGTGTGGTCATTTCTAAGGCGTTGAAAAATATAAGATCCATCTTCCAACTTTCAAAACTATTACTTGACATTGTTTCTGGGTCTTAAGTTAAAAAAATGTAAAGAAGCAGTGAAATTATCTTTACTCAAGATATAATTAACAGATGTTATAGAACTAAATTAACATGTGATGTGTAATATATATTACTATAACATAACATCAATATTATTAATATGCTATAATATTAGATTAAGTGATTTAATATAATTATAATACAATCATAACTATGATTATTGATTATATTAATATAAATATATGAGAGAAATCCTATAAAAAACTACAATAAATCATAAGAAACTTCATAAAATTGAAAGATAAATATGGAGGAAAACTTCACCTTTTATATACAGTAACGTAAAATAATTAAATGACATGGAATAAGTTTAATGAGACAGACAAGTCTATCTGTATATATTTCTCTGGTATATAAAAAAGGTCCACCAAAGTTTAAAAAAAAGATGAATATGAATCTAATAGAGAAATGGACGAAACATATAAAAAGACAGAACAAGAAATACAAATGACTCTTTAACCAATGGAAATACATTCAACTATGCTCAGATTAAGATAAATACATATTAAAGTAACACTGATATAGTATTTCTCACTGGAAAAACCAAAGTAAGTGGCATCATTTTCTATTGACCAGACTGTTCTTCTAGTATGGTATGTTTGGTGTAACGACTATGGGTGGCGATTGAATAACATCTATCAAAATCTCAATATAATCCTTTTTTACTTGGAAATTTTACATTGGTGAAGTCATCCCTTAAATATACCGCATGGATGCAAAGAAAATATACCAGCATGGATGCAAAGTAATTTATTGTCTGCAGTAGAAATATTTTATTAACAACTTAATATTCTGCTCTAGATGAAAATCAATTTTATTGTAGCTAAAGAGCTGAATTCTATATAGCTGTTAAAAAGGAAAGAAAAAAACAAGAAAGCTATCTATGTACTAATTTGGAAAGATTTCTGGAATGTTCTGTTAAGTAAAAGGACAAGGTGTGTTTGAATATTATAATCTACGTATTTGTGTGCTAATCTTGGCAGCATTATTCACAATAGCAAAGACTTGGAACCAACCCAAATGTCCAACAATGATAGACTGGATTAAGAAAATGTGGCACATATACACCATGGAATACTATGCAGCCATAAAAAATGATGAGTTCATGTCCTTTGTAGGGACATGGATGAAATTGGAAATCATCATTCTCAGTAAACTATCGCAAGAACAAAAAACCAAACACCGCATATTCTCACTCATAGGTGGGAATTGAACAATGAGATCACATGGACACAGGAAGGGGAATATCACACTCTGGGGACTGTTGTGGGGTGGGGGGAGGGGGGAGGGATAGAATCGGGAGATATACCTAATGCTAGATGACGAGTTAGTGGGTGCAGCGCATCAGCATGGCACACGTATACATATGTAACTAACCTGCACAATAGGCACATGTACCCTAAAAATTAAAGTATAATAAAAAAAAAACAGGGAAGATATCTATATGTCTGTATATAGATATATACATCTCTATATATACTAGTGTATATATATATACACACACTAGTCTATGCATAAAGAAATTGGAGGGTTAAACTGGAAACTACTGACATTGAATATCTAGGTGGGGAGAGTGGATAAAAGTATGAAGTTGCTTGAAGGAAGGTTTTTACTTTATACTTGGTTATACATTTTTATTTGATGCTTGTAAATGTATTATCTCTTCAGTAATTAAATAAATGAATTGGGAAATAAATAAATGAATTGGGGAATAAATTGGGAAATAAATGAATTGGGAAAATAAAAGAGAGTAATTGCAATGTTAAGTAGGGCTAAAAAGTAAATTGATGATTGAACAGTTTCAAATATTTTTCTTCTCATTGATACCCTTAATGACAGCTGTTTCCAATTTTATATTGCATATAACGAACTTTGAGAACTTCTGCATTAATAAAACTCACATAAGAGTTTAACTAAGTGTTTTTTAATTTATGTGATTACTGAATTATTATTTAAATATTGCACATTAATATCCAAGTAAATTAGCAGTCTGTGGAATGCATTTTTGGAAATTACTGCTCTATGACATTGAAAAGTTTAATTACTTTGTCAGTCACTAACAGTTACTGTCTTAAGATTTCCGTTCTCTAGTGGACATGTTGGGTTTATTTTTTAACAATTTAATTAAAAATGCTATCAAAAGGATAGCATATATAATTATCACTCTTATGAAAAATGGTTTACAGTAGAATCATAAAGAAATAAAATTCTTAATATGCATGAGCTTGAAATTTCTTCAGGCTGAACTAGCAATCTTAATCCTTTGAATAACCTACATTTTTAATTTGATGTGAAACCATCTCAAGCTGTGTAATAAGACAAATGAGGCTACTACAATTGTGCAAAGCAATAATCAACATTTCTTTTTTTTGCTGTAAACTGTTTTAAGTCCATGCACAAGGTGAATTAAGGCGACATTTTTGTTTGTTTTAGAAAGAAGGGTGGCACGTATTCATACTGCTTTACTAAAAAGAAAATAAAAGTTGGCATTCTAAATATATACAATATCTGGGAAATTTCAAAATCATTAGTTATTTTCAAACAAATATAGAGTCCTGAGAATCACTCATTGAAATGATTTTAGGACAAAAGTAACTTATCTGCCTATCATTTGGATATAAACAGACTTATTTACATTAAACACATATCTCCAACCAATAGATTCTATTAATCAAAATAGCAGGTCTTTCTTTGAAACAATTATGATCCATGACAGTACATATAAAAATCTGTTAGCATAATGCACCTTGAAGCTGGAAATGAGCTCAGGTTTATCCCAGTGATGTGGAATGTCAAAAAAACTGATGATTGTCATAAGAATGAATTATAGTGTCTTTTTGCTAAAATATACAAACCAAATCAAAAGTGCCATTTTAAATTATATAGTGGAGTGTTTCAGAAAATGACAACAAAACTACTTTAAAAAAATGGCTTTTAGCACCGCTTACCAAGAGAATGGGTTGAAGTACAGACAATCAACACATGGCCATTCTGCATTTATTCATTAATTCATCCAGACATCTATTGAATTGATTACTCATCTATTAATTGATTTTTTCAACATATTCTTACTGAGTGTAAAGTGATCTCAACACTGGTGCTACATATATAGTTAATCCACAACCTTACCTTCGAGGAGCTCCACCATCTGGTGAAAAGATGAGAATATTCATGCTACTAAGTGTTCTTACCCTGGGAGATACAAGAGAGCACAATGGTCTAGATCAGGGTAGGCTTCTTCCAGTGGTGAAACCTGAGCTCAATCTGACTAGGTTGACTAGAAGTCAGTCAGATGAAAAAAAGTGGCTTTACAGCCATTCGTGGCCATTTGCAAAGACACAGAAGGGAGAAACAGCTAGATAGGTAGAGGGAATGACAACCAACGAATTGTTATTGAAGGAATGAAGCATCAAAACATGAGAGGAGTAGACAGTAATTAATAAAAGGTGAATTTAAGTTTGAAGTTTTAGAAATAGTTGAAAATTTATATCAGACTCCCAAAGAAAAAAATATAAAATGTAGCAGAAAAGTTTTGGGGAAAAAAATCTTATGAACATAGCCCTAGAGCATTCAAATCATATCTTATATCTAAATATGTATATAAGTGTGCTAGTCTTTTTCATTAGATTCAATGATGTTTTAAGAAAAAGTTGGAAAAATAAATGAACAAAACTAAATTGCATGAGCAAAAATGAGAGTTTAGCTTGTGTGGCCAAGAAAAAGTCTAGATAATCCAACTTTGAAGGAGGCAAGTCACATCACTCTTGACAGAATGTCTCCAATATTCTAGTGTTGGTAGAAAACAACATAAGTAATGTTGTCTCAGTCACCTTCAAAATGATAAAAATAATGTTAATCTGCAGAGTATTAGGGTGTTGTAGTTTTAAATTTCATTTATTTACGTGGATATTCCTTTTTGTATTGTTCCTTTTGGAAACCACATGCATGGAAACAAAAGTTACGCTACATTATTCAGAGATTTCTAACACTTAAACCACTGTTAGGTTATATTAATTTGCAACTACCCATCAGTTGTTGTGATTTGGACTAAGTAATTCAGTTTATTTAATCTTTAACCAATGTATTTAGGGTATTAATTAATTAATTAAAATAAGTTATCAAGTATCCTGCAGTTTCCTGGAAGTCAGTAAGTTTCTCAACATAACTTGTATGGATAAGGAGAAATTAATCAACTAAATAGCTCCACTACACAAATTTGTGGGTTATACCTAAATATCCAGTAATTCCTTCACTCCTTTTTTTTTTTTTGCTGATTATTTTTGAAAGGGTTAAATCTTTGTAAGTAAAAGGAGAGTCTTACTAGTAAATCTGTGTTTTTAAATTTTCTATATTATCACAAATTGTCTCTTTTAAATGTGGATACAAAATTTGTTTTAAGGGTGATAATGACTTTTATATAGGATAGTCTAAAAATCAACATATTGCAAGAGCACTTGTAATAATCAAATTTTCGACTTAGAGAAATATAAATTAACATCTTAATGAAACATCTAAATAGCATTAAACAGCCTTGGTGTGATGGCTTACACCTGTAATCTCAGCATTCTGGGAAGCTGAGGCAGGAGGATCACTTGAGGTTAGAAATTTGAGCCTGGGCAACATAGTGGGACCCCAGCTCACAAAAATTAAAAAAAAAAAAAAAAGTCAGCCATGGTGGCAGGCAACTTTAGTCCCAGCTGCTTGGGAGGCTTAGGTGAGAGGATTGTGCCTAGAAGTTCAAGGCTGCAGTGAGCCATGGTTGCACCATTGCACTCCAACATGGGTGACAGAGTTGAGACCTCTCACATAAATAAAATAAAATAAAAATAAATACCATTAAATGAACAAATATAATTTGAAAACAGAAGGTACTGAATTTTTTTAAAAACTGGTATAAACAGTTTATCAAATTTATTTTCTGAAAACGTAAGATGTAGAATGTTTTTAAGAAAAAGAGACCTTCTTTTCCCTATATGCCACAAAGAGCCTATCTAGTAGCCTATGTAGTAGCCTATCAACTATAGGTAGAGTCTAACTCCCTAAATTTCTAACCGTTTGATTTACTATAGAATTTGAAATATTAGATATCTAGAAAGTTTAGAAATTAAGAGCAAGATTGTGATATTAATAACATCACATTCAGGATTTACTGGTTTGCTGTCGAGCCGATAGTGCACATGCCCTCTTGCCATGAGTTCGTCAAACATAAATGGATTTTCATGTTAAGTATATACAAGTTTCTGATTTCAAATATGCAGTATTTATCTATATTAAATACTGATATTTCTTATGATAGATAAATCACTTATTTTTAGCTCCTTCATTTACATTCTCTTCTTTCAGATAAGGAGTAAATAACTTCAATTAGTTGCATAATTCACAAAATGTGCTAAATAAAGTGATATTTTTTCCAGTGAAATTAAATCACTAAAAATTTGTAGACTTAAAAGGTGCATTTTACCCACGTAAAATAAACAGGATGTCCAAATATATGGTTAGCATATTAATATGTTATAGCTAATTATTTACAATGCATGCTAAGTAGTGAGATAGTCATATGAGTGATTTTTCTCTTCAACAATTATTAGTTATTTAAAGAAAAGTGAGAAAAAGCTACATTAATCTTCAGAGCAGTTTCAACTCTCATCCATGGAACTAAATAAAAAATTTTAGAGTGCTGACTAGATGTCACACTGGCTGTAAATGAACATTTACAATTTTGAAAATGATAAATCCTCCCTCCAAAAAAAAGTTCAAAAGTTGCATGTTTAAATCACTTAAAAATAAAACAGAAACAACCAAGTCTAGCTGCAGGCCGATTAGCCTCACTCTTGCCTGGAAGAACAGACCAGCTGAGTGCACTGCCCTCAGGGGAGTTGAGTCCCACTAGGCAGACAAACCACATGAACTCCTATCGCCTAAGTTATGAGGCATTTGCAGGAATTGCCAAAGTTGACTATAGCTAAAAAAAAACAAAAAAAAAAAAACAAAAAAATGAGACATTACAACTGATACCACAAAAATACAAAGTATAGTTAGAGAATATTGTGAACAACTGTATATCAAAAAATTGGAAAACATAGAGGAAATGGATAAATTCTGAACACACACAACCTACCAAGAGTGAACCAGGAAGACATAGTAAAACTGTACAGTCTAATAACAAATAATTAAATAGAATCAGTAATAAAAAAAGTCTTCCAACAGTGAAATGCCTAGGACCAGATGACTTTACTGCTGAATTCCACCAATATTTAAAAGAAGAACTAACAGCAATTCTTCTAAAATTATTCCAAAAAATGGAAGGGGAATGAATTCTTCCACACTCAATCTATGAAGCTAGCATTGCCTGGATACCAAAACTAAACAAATACAGAACGACAACAACAAAACTATGTGCCAATATTACTGATGGGCATACATGCAAAAACTCTCAATAAAATACTAGTAAACTGAATCCAACAACATATCAAAAATATTTTATACCCATGATGCAAAAGTGGTCCAACATATGCAAATCAATAAATAAGATACATCACCACATCAGAATAATGAAGGACATAAATCATATGATCTTCTCAATAAACTCAGAACAAGCATTTGATAAAATCCAACATCCTGTCATAATAAAAATTCTCAATAAATAGATATAAAAGTAACATATCTAAACACAATAAAGGCCATATATGACAAACCCACAGCAAACATCATACTGAACAAGGAAAAGTTGAAGGCTTTCTCTCTTAGAACTGACCACAAGACAAGGATGTTTACTTCTACCACTCTTAGCCAAGATAGTACTGGAAGTCCTAGCCAGAGCAATTAAGTGGGAGAAAGAAATTAAAAGCATCTGAATTGGAAAGGCAGGAAGTCAAATTGTCTGTTTACAGGCAGCATGATCTTACATATAGGAAAACCTAAACATTCCACTAAAAAACTTTTAGCACTGATAAATGAATTCAGTAAAGTTTAAGGATGGAAAATCAACATTAAAAAGCACTAGCATTTCTATACAGCAAAATCAAACTAGCTGAAAATGAAGAAAGCAATTTCATTTATATTAGCTACAAAAAATTTTTAAATAAAAGACCTAGAAATAACTTTAACCAAGGAGGTGAAAGGTCTCTACAATGCAACCTATAAACACTGATGAAAGAAATCAAAGAGGATGCACAAAAATGGAAAGACATCTCATGTTCATTGATCAGAAGAATAAATATTGTTAAAAAGACCATACAACAAAAGTGATCTACAGATTCAATGCAAAACCTAACAAAATACCAATAACAATGTTCATAGTAATAGAAAAAAATCCTAAAATTTATATGCTGTCACAAAAGACCCTAAATAGTCAAAGTAATACTGAGCAAAAAACAAGGCTGGGGCATCACATTACCTGTCTTTAAAATATATGATAAAGTTATAGTAACCTAAACAGTATGGTAATGGAATAAAGGCAGGCATATAGACCAAGTAAGCCAAATAAAATACCCAGAAATAAATTCACACATTTAAAGACAACAGATTTTTGACAAATGCACCAAAATCATACTTTGGGGACAGCACACCCTTTTCAATAAGTGGTGTTGGAAAAACTGGGTATCCATATGCAGAAGAATGAAACTGGACCCCTATTTGCCACTACACAAAAATCAAATAAAAGTGAATTAAAGACTTAAATATAAGACCTAAAACTAAGAAACTACTAGAAGAAAACTTGGGGAGACACTCCAGGACATTGGTCTAGACAATGATTTCTTGAGAAAGACTTCAAAAGCACAGGCAACCAAAACAAAAATGGACAAGTCAGATCACATGAGCTAGAAAGATTCTGCACAACAAAGGAAACAATCAACAGAGAAAAGAGACAACTTGAAGAATGGGAGAAAATTTTTACACACTATTCATCCAATAACAGATTATTATCCCTATTTGAGGAACTCAAACAATAGCAAAAAATAAAAAATAATCGGATTAGAAAATGTGCAAAGGACCTGAAAGACATTTCTCAAAAGAAGACATACAGATGACCAACAAATATATGGGAAAATGCTTAACGTCACTAAACATTAGGAAAATTCAAATTAAAACCACAATGAGATATCATCTCACCTCAGTTAGAATGGCTATTATCAAAAAGACAAAAAATAACAAATGCTTATGGGGATGGGAATAAAAAGGAACTCATACACCATCTTGGAAATGTAAATTAGGACAGCCATGAAAAACAGTATGGACATTTCTTAAAGAGTTAAAAATAGAACTAGCATATGATCCAGAAATCTCACTACTGTATGTGTGTATATATATATATATATATGTATCCCCATATATATGTGTGTGTGTGTGTATATATATATCTATATATAATTCTATTTTTCTTTGAATATATATTTCTTATTTGTATATATATTTTTTTCAAAGAAAAGGAAATCAGTATGGTGAAGAGATATCTGCACTCCCATGTTTATTGTAGCACTGTTCACAAAAGCCAAGATATGGAATCACCTAATTGTCCATAAACAAATAGATAAGGAAAATGTGGTATGTATCTATATGTATATGTGTGTGTGTGTGTATATATATGTGTGTGTGTGTGTATCACATATATATATATACAATGTGATACTATTCAACTGTAAAAAGAATGAAATCCTGTCATCCTGTCATTCTGCAGCAACATGGATAAACCTGGAGGACGTTAAGTTAAGTAAGTTAGGCACCAGGCACAGAAAGATGAATACCACATGTATATTATTGTCCGAAAAATCACCTGACTTGATTCATTATACATTGAAGACTTACAAGACGTATCTTCTCTCTCTCTCCATTATTTCAAATAACTGTGAGTTCATCCAATGCTCAAGTGCTTTCATACTAATTTTCTTCCCTAGTCAACAAACTAATTAAACTAAAAATTGCTATGAGAAAACAGAGGCACTAAGTTTCAACTGACTTGTTCAGCGTCAGAACACTTGTCAGTGACTAAGCTGGAAGGTGTATTCCTGTGGCACCAAAACCCAGACTTCTTCATCTGGCCTCTTTGCCTCTCATTTCACTCGGGTATTTTAACATGCCTGCTTGAGAACCTCTATTAACTTGATTCATTAAATTAAAAGTCAGATAACTAGGATTTTGTAACACTGGAGATATACAATTTAAATACAATTTTTGTAAATTAAGGGGTTTTATTAGGAGTTTTAAAACTACAAAGTAATTGCAGTTTTGCATTACTTTAATTATTACTTTAATGCTGACAAGGCAACATCAACAATGTCGCATCAAGTATTTTGCCATTATGAAGGTGTTTTTTAAATTTTTTTCTCTAGGTGGCACACCAAAATACTAATATTAGGTCGGTGCAAAAGTAATTGCGAGCACCAGCATTACAAGAATTTTTAAAAAGATATAATATCTTGGACTACAAATATGTTCGTGCTAATTAAAGTGTACATATAAACTAAGCAAAATTGTTATTGTAGTCTATTTGTAATACTGTTCATTTTGTGAACAACTTTGCATCTTTGTTTTGTTTGAAACTATCAGCATGAGTACACATTATCCTATACATTATTGTGCCAAGGAAGAATTTGAGAAATGCTGTTTTAATTCCAAAAAGGGAAATTAGGGAAAATTTGCAGATCCTTGGAGGAGTTTTCAAAAAATATGAAATATTAATGTCCTTTACTGAACTTCATAACTACTATCTTATATAAATTATAGTCTTATTTCTGATAACAATAATAATTATGTATGGAGACCTACTTTTATTCAATTTGAATTATAAATGTTTTCATTGATAATTTACTACAAATACAGCAATATTTGTAGGGTTTAATATATTGAAATTTGAAATTAAGCATATTAAATAAAGAGATTAGAAAACCATTTCAATTGTAAAGGATAAATTTTATGATGGCATTTATACATATGCTTGATACTCATAGTTCTATTTATTTCATGTATTTTTTATTTGTCTTCTTTTCTGTCTGGTTTATTATTTAATTAGTTTAATGAGACCTTATTATTTTCAAACATGGAATTATTACTTATTCCTCTTTTTAAATCATTTTAGTGATTTCTCTAGCATTTAAAACATACACATTAGATGATTCATAATCAACTTTCAAATAATTGTATACCCACTCAATTGTAGTATAAAGATCTTGCTACGGTATACCAAGAATTTCACCTATCCATTTTTTTTGTGCTATTGTCATATATTTTACTTTGACTTATTTTACGAACTCAGAATACTTTGCTACTCTTTTTGCTGTAGTCAGTCAATTATTTTCTAAGAGGTTTAAAATGAGAAAAATGTCTTTTATGATTTTTTTTTAATTTTAGCCATTTCTGGAAATCTTTTTATAGCATAGCCAATTTTTTTTTGCTTGTTATTATATCTCTTCTACATGGAGAACTTTCTTTAACATTTCTTATATAGTATAGATCCGAAGTGAATTGGTAATAGCTTCACACAAGTTTGTGTTTCAGGGGAAAAAAAGTCTTTCTTTGGCTTTCATGTTTGAAAGATATTTTCGATATTTTCATGGAGTAGATTTTCTAGGTTGATTTGTTTTTTCTTTAAGCACTTTAAAGACATCACCTCAATGTCTTCTGCCTTATTGATTCTGTCAGGGTGTCTGCTGTAGTTTTTATCCTTGTCCCTTTATGTGTATTATGTCCTTTTCTCTAACAACTTTCAATATTTTCTTTCTTTTTAAATTTAACATTAGTTTTCACTAATTAGACTATGGTTTTGTTATGTTTTGGAGGGCGTGTGTGTGTGAATATGCATGTGTGGGCATTTCAGTACTTATTCTGTTTGGGTCCTTTGAGATTCTTGGATCTCTGATTTAATGTCTTCTTATATTTAAAAATGCTTGATATATTTTCAAGTATTTCTTCTGCTTTATTATTTCTCTCTTATTTTTCTAAGATTACAACTGTACATATGATAAACCATTTGATACTATTCCACAGCTCGTGTATGGCTTGCTCATTTTGCTTTTTACTCTCCTTTATTTTATTTTTTACTTTTGTGTTCCTATTAGATAATTTCTACTGATTCATATTTAAGTTTAGCCTGTTGAAGACATTCTTTATGTCTGTCATGGTGCTTAAAATTTCTTACACTTCCCTCTTCCTTACAATTTCCATGCTCTTTTTTTAAATTTCCCTGTTTATTTTATGCATGGTGTGTATTAGTAAGCATTTTGCTCAAAACCATTCAACAAGTCTCTAGGAAAGTTCCAAATTGTCCCACATCTTCCTGTCTTTTTCTGAGTCCTCCAAACTGTTCCAACCTCTGCCTATTACCCAGTTCCAAAGTCACTTCCACATTTTCAGGTTATCTTTATAGTAGTGCCCCACTTGGCCAGTACCAATTTTCTGTATTAGTCTGTTTTCACACTGCTATAAAGATACTGCCTGAGACTGGGTAATTTATAATAAAAGAAGTTTAATTGACTCAGGTCCACATGGCTGGGGAGGCCTCAGGAAACTTACAATTATGGCGGAAGGAGAAAGGGAAGCAAGAACCTTTTTCATAGGGCTGCAGGAGAGGGAGAGAGAACGAAGCAGGAAGTGACACTTCTAAACCATCAGATCCCATGAGAACTCATTCACTATCATGAGACCAGCACTGGTGAAACTGCCGCCATGATCCAATCACCTCCCACCAGGTCCCTCCCTTGACACATGAGGATTACAATTGAAGATGAGATTTGGGTGGAGACACAGAGCAGAACCATAACATGGTGTCTACCTTTATCTCTAGAAACGTTAACACATTAATCATAGTTATTTTCAACTTCCTATTTGATAATTTCGACATCTGTATCATCTCTGAGTCTGGAGGTGTGAATTGGATTGTCCCTTGACAATGCAAACTGTGATATGCTTTTTGGGCATATAATTTTTTTAATTGATGTTATAATATGTGGAATAGTAAAAACTGAGGTAAATATTATTTATGCTTGGAAATAGAAACACTTCTACTAGAATATCAGTGTAAGTGGTTGTGTCAATTTATTTAGCAGTTAAGCTGAGTTTGAGGGTTCTTTATTTGTTTTTGCTTTTACTACAGTTAACATTAATAGATTTTTAAAATGTGGTATATATACACAATGGAATACCACTCAGCCTTATAAAACAAGAGAATCCTCTTATTTGCAACAACATAAATGAACTTGGAGAACATTAAAGTAAAAACAAAATTAGCCAAGCACAAAAAAAAAAAAACAAAAATAATCAAAACCACATGATCTCATTGATATGTGGAATCTAAAAATGTTGAACTCATAGAAGCAGAGAGTAGAATGGGGCTTACCAGAGGTTAGGGGTTTAGGGGGATTGTGGAGGTCTTGGTCAAAGAATACAAAATTTCATTTAGACCAGAAGAGTAAGTCCAAGAGGTCCATTGCGCATCACGGTGACTATGGTCAATAACAATATATCATATACTCAGAAATTGTTAAAAGTAGATTTTAAATGTTTTCACCAAAAGATGATAAGCATGTGAGGTAATATATATGTTAACTAGCTTAATTTAGCCATTCTGCAATGTACACAAATATCAAAACATCATACTGTATGCCATAAATACATACAATTTCTCTTTGTCAATTAAAACAATAAAAGATTCTGTAAAACTAGAGCAACAACAGTACACTAATAAATCACTGACTTCAAATTCTCCTAGTATCATTTTTGTGTTCATTGCAAGTAGATTCGAAAGAGGATTTTCCTCAATGTTCTTTCCGCATTTCTCTCTGTGTTCTTTCCCTCTTCCAGATATGGATTGTTGCTGCTTGTTATGAGATGCTTGTTATCCTAGGGTGGGTGGAGGGCACAGGCAAGTTTCTCTGTCGTACTTACTTAGTCTCCGTATTATGTAAGCCTTACGCCCCTCAGTCTAAGGAGTGAGGTTTTGTCAATGACCCAAGCCCCTTCCTCAACTGAGACTTGTAATTGTCTGGGCCCAGGAAACAGGGGGTTTTATTCGTTTTATTTTTTCTGGTCACATTGGGTCTTCATTTCTGACCAGGGGTGGGCAGATTTTGCTATACCTCCTTCAGCAAGTTAAAATTTTTGTACCTTGGAGTGGGTGAGACTTGGTTAGGCTTCATGTATTTCTTACAGCAGTAGTTATTCCTCTCTTCCAGTTGTATAGCACCAAGTTTGGCATTCTCCCGCCCTGCTCACAGTCTTTCTCACGAACATCTGGTGGTAATCTATGAAAAAGACCTTGTGAGTGCGTGCAAACTCCTTTTCTATCTGCAGCTACCAAGTAGGACCACATTTAGCCTTTTGTGATTTATTTAAAATGCTAGCAAAATTCTTTCTACCTACTTCTGTTAAGATTCCATTTTAATCTATTCTCTACCAGGGGTAAGTCCAGGCTCCCATTCCTGTATCCTTGGTTGTACTTGTCTTTCCTTGAGTTTAAGCTAATCCATTATCCAGAATGCTCTGATCTCTGTTATGCTAGAAAATTTTATGGATTTTGTGAATATAATGTTTTCTCCTTTGGGGTTATTACATTTCCCATTTTTATAACAAAGATGGAAAACAAGAGTCTCATGTATTTGATTTTCAGTGAAATTTGGGTAATTCATTTATTAGATAAATAGCTCAGTTAAGAAACATGCTTTTTCTTAAACTGACTCCTTTATTTTCTCTTTTACATTCTTCCATTATTAGTATTGCCACTAATCATCAGTGAAATGACTGAATGACTGTCAGACATGTAGGTAAAGATTAAACCTTATAGCCTAATAAAAATTTATAGTCAATAAAAATTTACTATTTAATTATAAATTATGGCACATAATAAGTACAGCGTTTTGTTTTGTTTTATTTTGTTTTTGAGACAGGTTCTCGCTATGTTGTTCATGCTAAACTTGAACTCCTGGACTCAAGTGATCTTCCTGCCTCAGCCTCCCAAGTAACTGGAACTATAGTCACATGCCACTAGGCCTTGCTAGTTTTTTAATGATATGAGAAATAAACAGCTAAATTCACAGCAAAACTAATTAATACAGATAAAGAGTCCAATCTTGGGTTATATGACCTCCTCTTTGCTGAACCCTGGGATGGAGGACAGAAGTTTGGGGAAGGAGACACAAGACCCACTAAGCTTCATGGTAGGAGACAGAGTTTGTGCCCTGGAAATACTTTTCAAACTTTAATGTGCATGAATATTGTACAGAGATCTCATTAAACATGCAGATTTGGATATAGAAGGCCTCTCCTGGGGCTCAGGAGAAACAGATGTTGTAGACCATATTTAGAGTAGCAAGATACTAGAGATTACTTTATTTTGGATGAAAGAAATTATGTCTAATTATATTTTATAGCAGATGAAATATATGGTTTGAGAGTACATAGCGAAAACTTCAGTATCTGCCTCTTTTTCTGTATTTGTATAAATACTGCTCTCTACTTTACAGGGTTATTAGAGGAGAAAGGATTCTTAGTGCTTAAAACAGAGTCTGGCATGCAGTGGGTAAATAATTCATGTTAAATGGTACTAGGCAGAACATCTTGAATTGAATATTAATAATAATACATTGACTCAATCATTGTTTTAAGTTTATATCAACTAATTCAAAATAGAAACTATTCATCATCACTATTTTAAGCATAGGGGAATTACATGACTGAAAGATTAGGATTAGTTGATGCACTCAAACTCCCACAGGTAGTAATGGGAAAGACAAGGATTCTTCTAGCAAATCCAGGTAGTTTCACAAAAGGGCCAGAATCCGGTGCTAGTGCATAGTATTGAATTATCAAATCCAACAACTCAGAGATCATACCAGTATCAAGCATTACTAAATAAGTATCAAGGCTAAGGCAATCAAAGGCTCAGGTGAATTAAAGGGATGTCAAAGGCCTCTCCCAAGATCCTCCATTTTCTCCAGAAAAGTGCCCCTAGGAGAGATCCCCAAGAGCACCTTATGACATGGAGAGCATTTAAATTATGAAAAATCTCCATTGTATGTCTTTAGAGAGTAGTGTCACCTACATGACATTCTCTAGAGAGCCATGTCTCACAGTCATTGGGCTCTGTTGACTCTAGGTAATACTGAACCAGGGACATCTTAATAAGCACATTTCAGAGATATGATCTCTTTTTCCTGAAAAATATTAGTTTATTTGCTTGGGGATTGAATTGACTTGGAGATTACTTCAGGTCACCTTTTTTTTTGCTTTCTATATGCTTCTCTCCTTAACCAAGAAGTGAATGGATTACAGGGCAGATGCTTTAATTTTCTTCCCAATCTTTAAGAACTAAGCAATTTGGAGCGCCTTTATTTTTCTACAAAGCCTCCACTGACAGGAAAGTTTGGACAGGGAGTAGGTCATAGATTAGGTGAAAAAGGCACTACCAAAAGTCCAATCACTAGAGCAGAGAGCAAGGCACACAGTGCTGGCTCAAAGCCGGGAGGTATCACACAGGAGAAAAGGGTCATCAGAAGGCAGCAACAAAATGATCATGTACAACAGTATTAAGAAACGGTAGCAGCCGGGCGCGGTGGCTCACGCCTGTAATCCCAGTACTTTGGGAGGCCGAGGCGGGCAGATCACGAGGTCAGGAGATCTAGGCCATCCTGGCTAACACAGTGAAACCCCATCTCTACTAAAAAATACAAAAAATTAGCTGGGCGTGGTGGTGGGCGCCTGTAGTCCCAGCTACTCAGGAGGCTGAGGCAGGAGAATGACGTGAACCCGGGAGGCGTAGCTTGCCGTGAGCTGAGATCGCGCTACTGCACTCCAGCCTGGGCGACAGAGCGAGACTCCATCTCAAAAAACAAAACAACAACAACAACAAAAAAGTAACGGAAGCAGTGCTTTGGATCATGTAAAAGTTTTCAATAATTTCTGATGAGGGGGAGGTCAATCCCCATGCACCTTGCCTTGGGCCTTGCTGCAGGCTGAAGCTTCTAATTGGTAGCAGCTGCCTAGGAGCAAGGCATCTAGTCTGGGGTAAACAGCTGTAAGCCTAAGCAGATTTGGGGTTCAACAGGCTCTGTAAGAAGAGAAAGTTGGGGTCTTTATTGAGATCAACCAAAATTATACAATGTTTAAGGAAAAAACTTTCTATAATTTCGTTTCCATTAACTTCTTTATTTAAATATTCTAATTTGCCGACTATTTGGCACAGTCATTTCTATTACCTATGGCATCCCTTTACCCAATAGTTTTCTGATTGTGCTGAGTTGCCTGAGCAGAATTGTGAACTCACCCTGTATAAAACCAGTACCATCAAGTTGAACTACTCTGCATGTGGGGGAATTGCTCTGTCATCTAGTGGTTAGTGGTTTGATTGTAGCAGCACATTTTACATCATAACCTGAAATGTTAAAGCAGGTGGGACTCTGTGTTTCTTGTTGGTAAGATATGATGAAAAATGAATGAAGTGGGATTGATTTTGAAGGCTACGTGCGCCTGGAGATTGTTAGGAACCTACATCAGGGAGAGGTACCTTATATTTTACTGAAACTGAGGAACAGCGAAACTCAGCATTTCCAGGAATTCCACAAATATATTCTGAAATGTGCAGATTAATAAAAATGTTTGACAAAATGTTGACAAGTCTTTCTCACAAAACCAGCAGCAAATCTCACCAGAAAATGTGCAGGATGATGTTGGCTTTACCAAATAAATCATCATCTGTATTCTACTGGGTGATGAAAAAAAGCAACAAACAAAAACAAAACACACATTGGTATTGATTTAACATACCATGTAGCCTTCCTGATTATTTGGCATTCTGTTATAAACAGTCTACTAGAGTCTAGGGATGTTTACATCTTTGTTTATTTTTTGAGACCGTTGCCCAAGAGATATTTGTGATACTTATAAAGAAGTTATAATTAATTGCTTCTTTTTTATAATGCTTATAGTCACAAGTTTCAAAGAATGCTGAATTTTCAATGTGGCTCATCCATTTCTTCTCTTGTAACTTTGCTCATCAAAAATTCCATTTAGTTCATGATTATGGTTTGTAATTTTTACCAATGACATTCTTTCTCATCTTCACTTTTGTCTTACTCTATTTGCTACCACAATAAGAGAAGATAAAGAGTTTTGATAGCAACTACAGACATGTGTTATCCACAGACTTCCTGTGAAGCAAAAATATGTCAGGGGCAAAAGAATGTTTATAGCAAAGATTGGCAAACATTTTCTGTAAAGGGGCAGATAGTAAATATTTGAGGCTTTGTGGACTACACCGTCTACAGCAACAACTAAACTCTGTTGTTGTAATGGAAGAGCTTTCATAGACACTGTGTAAACAAATTGGTGTGTCTGTGTTTCAGAAAAAAAGTGTATTTAGAATAACAGGCAGTGGGCCAGGCTTGGCTCACTGGTCATAGTTTTCTACCCTCTGATTTATAAGCAGCAGCTTATTTTTCAAACTCAATTTTATTTCAGTCCTGAGTATTCCAACAAGTGTTTATTTTACGGGCAGCCCTAATGCATTGCACACTGGTATATCCCCAGAAAGGTTCTGTTATAATTCCTCATTTTTCTTTCAAGGTACAGAATTTGAAAAAGAATTCAGTGGTAGGTCAAAGGAAAAACCTGCATTCGTAGGAGATGCAAGGAGAAATCATGATGCTTGATGAGGAAATTTTCTCAGATTTTGCTAGGGCTGATATCCATCCTTCTCCCATGCAGAGATAGCTATGCTCAAATTTCATCAAGTTAGGGATCTTTTTACTGAGTTGCTCTGCCAACATATGCTATATCCAGTGATTAAACCAAGAACCACAATCAGCAGGTGAAGTGGAGAAACAAACTACTGATTTCAGATAAGCTCAATGCACCATGTAAACACCATAACTGATGCTGCATACTTCAGCAAAGGAAGAAGAAATGTTCCTTATTTTTCCTGAAATGAGCCAGGACAAGGGTCAAGCAACCTTGGAATGCTTATGCCACCAGCACCAGTGTGTCCAAATCTGGGCTTCTTGTTAGAATCTCCTGAGCAAAATAAATACCTTGTGATCTTTAAGAATCAGAATCTCAGAAGAGACATCGGGAAGCCCTGTTTTACAGGTGATTCTTTTGCAGCTGTTCTCTGCTCAGGTATTTGAGGACGACTGTCGAAGCATCTAGCCCAAGCCCAGCATATTGCAAAAGAGAAAGCTAAATCTGAGAGGTTAACAATTTACCCTCATCCCCCAACTGTTCCATGACAATCAGAACCATGTTCTTCTGACCAAGTTTCTTTCCACTCCATGAGCCATTTTTTTTAAGATCATGATACTCTTACTAGAACCCTCACCACCATGATGTGAGCTGGGTTTTCCCAAAATTACTTTCTGTGTCTTTCTATTGCAAACCCCAAAACTCGCTTTTAATGTTGTGGTCTCTTACTGTAGTTATACTTTCTTCTTTAAATGACCTAAATTACCTTCTTAGTCCTCCTCAGTAGAAATCGTATCCATTGTTCAAGATCCAACTCTAATCAACCGTCTTCCAGGAGGGCTTTCTGAGGCTATTGGAATCAACACTAATATTTTTTTTTCTGATGGCCTAGAACATTGATCACCTAATCAACTTGATTAAATTAACTTACATATCAATTTCTAGTTGGGTATTTTGCACTTTTCCCTTGAGGGCAGGGGTCTTGTCATATACTTCATATGAATCATCTGTAGTTAGAAGTGCTGACTCCATAGAAGATCAAAACCTATTCAGAGAATTATGTTTAGAAAAATTATTTTGTGTCAGAATAATTTAGGAGATAGGGTGTAATGACCTTCACTTTGAAATGAGTCATACAATTTTTATAGGCCACAGGCATAATGGTGAATAACTGGCAGACAGACAAGATCATGCCTTTCATTATTGGATATGTGTGTGTGTGTGAGTGTGTGTGTGTTTGTGTGTGTGTGTGTGTGTGTTTGTGTGTGTGTGTGTTTGTTTGTATTACAGTGTTCCCCCATAATATTATTTCTTAGTGTGAATTAGGCCATCCTTGACGTGGGAAAATTGCCTCATGCTATGCCCTTTCATGACACACAAGTGGAAGAAGAAAAAGTTATCATTTCGTGCAGGTCAGAAGTATGCTGCAGTACTGATTGTGAAAGAAGTAAACTGATTTTTGCGTAAATTTCCCTAACTTAAGCTCTTTTTCATCAGAGCAAATGCTAGAGGGATTTTGTTGGTGGTGTTGTCTGATCTAGGTATTCAACCTCAAACCCCAAACTCACCTGTAGAATAACTTGTGTTCTGGCATTACTAAGAATAGGTATGGTGTATGCATATTTTAGAAAATACGGCATATATTAACAATTATTGATCTTTAATAAAACTGGAGTCTAATAAAACTAAGAGTATTTACAATGTGCATATAACAGGATTCTGATATAAAGAAGTTTATTGGTGTCTTTCTATATTTCAAAGACTGTTAATTTTTATTATATCTATTATGCCATTTAATTTAATCCTCCCAACAAACCTGGATGAATTTCATTATCCTGTCTACTTTGCAGATTAAAAGCCAGATACAGAGATTAGATCTGTGACTAGGTCATATTCATAATTTTATTTAAATAGTCAACTTTAAACTTTTCTCCTCTGCCCACCATTCTCACTATACAACAGTAACAACACATATGTATAAATACAGTTTCTATTAGATTAATATTAAGTTATAAGCTATAATAAATTGATATTATATTGATGTTATGTTTAAGCACATCATCTAAAAATTTTACATATTTTTGCAATTTTTTGAATCTATGGTACAGTTATTAAAACTCACCTGTGTTGGGAGATGTTTCCTCTAAATTGTCAATCTCAGTTTTCATTATAATCCTCTTCAAAAATGTACTGTTCACAAACACTTCATAGCTTTCTGGAAAAGATATTTGTTGTCAGGTTTTGTTTCTTTTATGATGTCAGTACTATGATGAGTATATCTATATCTCATCACTGTATGTTCTGAAAATAGCATAAATTTGCCCGCCAAATTATTTGAAACACTTTTTAAAGATTCTGACTTTCGCCTTTAACTTTTTATAAATCATTAATAGCTTTTCTTCATTTCTTACATTGAAAAAGTCAGTGACTAGATAAGAGGACACATATGATCTGTTTCAACAAGAACATGAAATCTCACTTTCCTTTGATTAATGTTCTATTGTTTATTTGGTGTTTTTTTCTTTTTTCTTTTTTTTTTTTTTACTTGAAAACCATTGTATTTTAAAATTAAGTACAGCTGAGCTGGGTGGCTCATATTTATTATCCCAGCACTTTGAGAGCCCTAGGCAGGAGGATCCCTTCAAGTCAGGAGTTCAAGAGCAACTGGGCAACAAAGTGAGACTCCGTCTCTCCAAAAAATAAAAATAAAAGAATAAGCTGAGGGTGATGGCGTGTGCGTGTAGCCCTATCTACTCTGGAGGGAGGCTGGAGTCAGAAGATCAAGTGAGCCCAGGATTTGGAGGTTACAGTGGGCTATGATTGTGCCAATACACACCAACCTGGGCAACAGAGCAAGATCCTGTTTCAAAAATATAAATAAATAAGAATAAACCAAGTGCATTATTCTTATAGAGTCTATTCTCCCAAATTTGTCGATTACAAATAAAATTTAAATCACTAAAACATAGTTGTTTTGGTGCTCCCATGCTCTGCAAATACTCAACAGTCATTCAAGTCATCACCTTTTGTTAGAATTAGCAATGTACTAAAACTACACGAGGAAAATTTGGAATCAGCTGCTCCAAGGGTCCATATCAAGATTTACAGTTTATGATTATATCATTTTGCACCAAAGTGGAGCTTCTGAATTAAAGTGCAAAAATAACTAAGATGTAAAAATAAACATATGGTAAGATAATACAGATCAAATTATTAAAGAGATAATATAATTGTTGAATTAATAATTACATATTTATGATTCTTAATATGTACTTTTGATGTAATGCAATTGTTAGACTTACCTCCAAAATACTCCTTTTAAATAAATGAAGCAATTGGTCTAGGTACTAATATTACCTTAATAATTTTTAAACGTTTTTAAAATAGATTTTATGAAAACTAGGCGATATAATCAAATGGCTTCAACTTTATTATAAATGAATCTCTGGAATAAATAATCATTATTTTTTCTACATTTATCATGTCCTCAAATGTCAAATAAACAGAATTCTAGAAAAAAAGAAGAATCTATGAAATTAAATTTTCTGCTTAGTTGAGGGCATAGGGTGTGTACCTGCATTGGAATAATAAATACAAATTAACCTTTGGTAATTGGACGTCTAGACTCTTTCTCAAGTTGGATAGTCATGCCTAGAAGTCTTTGACAAATAAGCTCATGAGTTTGAAGTGACACTTTTTGGGTTTTTTGTTGTTTTGTTTTGATTTGGTTTTTAATTAGACATACTTCAGTAGGATTTTAATATAAAATGATAATATTTTCTCTCATCACCTTAAATTATACCATATTAAATAGTCAGATAACTCAATTTTTCACCACTGTTTGATCCATTCAGTTAATATTGCAAGCTCAAACTCATTACATTCTATCTGCTTTTTACCCTTCTAGAGGTCTTAAGTTGATATTCTGACTGTTCAGAGACAGAAGTGGGAAATGATTCTGGTTCTCAGATACCTGCTTTACTTTATTGAAATCCACTTCCTTTTCTGTGTTACAATGAAAATCAAATAGGATGTGTGGTGAGAAAAGGGACTTGTGGCACTACACTTAACTGGTTCTTAAATCTTTTTCTCAGTTGTTACTGCCTCTATGGCTAACCCAGCTGACCCTTGACGCCTTCTCTGTGAGCTTGTTCTCTCCTGTAGCTCTTGTTTGAATACTTTGAAGTGCTCTATAAGTATTTCCATTTTACAGATTGTCATGAGGGAGTTCCAGCTACAAGTCAATATTTTCACATTTTTTTCAGCTCTAACAAATAGAGTATAACCCTAGAGCATGTTGGTGTTGAGGTCCTCTACCCACAAGGCAGCACTAACCCAGCCAACGTCTCCAAGAGTCCGAATTTTTCATAAAGAGGTCAAACCTCCTTGATATGCTAAACCTGGGGATAACCATTCCGCTCTTTTCCCCTATCTACACTGTACCGTGGCTCTCCAATGCCTTTCTCGTACACATCTTGGCACAAGACCTAATCAGCAGGCTCATTGCCAAAGAAGATGTCCAACAGTTACATTCCCAATCTTTAATAAGGATTCTCCTTGAATCAAAATGTTTTGCTTTTCCTACAAAATGTAGGTCTTACACATTTCCAAGGATATTTGCAAGGACCATAGGGAGTAGAAGTTGGCTATCTGTGTCCTGCTATATCAACTTGGTTTAAAGGTAGGTTTTCAGTGAAAGGTGGGTTGGTTGTAAACTGTAGCCTCCTCTAAGCTGCACAGGTGTACAGGTCTATAAACATATGACTTTTATTTACCCTCGGTACTCAACCTTCCTTTTCACACAAATTAAGATAAATAATGCAATAATTATCCAAATTGCTCAGAGTAAGAAAATTTGTTCTGAGTCACTGGCATTCCTGTTTTGCTCTCTTTTCAACTTTAATCAAATTCATTTTCTCCAATTCAATACTCTGGTGGCTTTCAGGCCTTTTATCAAAAGGGCAACAGATCTGGTAGGATATTAATTATTCTGATGTTATATATTTGCTTAGATGTTAAATTCTCCCATATGTTCACCTTTTTAGAGACGTTTTCTCTTAAATATCATGTTCAAGGTTTTCTGTCTTTATAAAGTTTAGGTGATAATAACAGGCAGTTATAGTTTACTTGGGTGGAGGGGCCTTTTAAATAATCCTAGTTTGCCCTCATTCCTGGCTCTCATATTCACTTGGGGAAGTGATAAGAAGAAACAGATCCCTTTTTCTTTCTTAAAAACAAGGAAACAAAACTCTCTTCCCAATCCCATTATCTTATCAAAGACCCCTCCTGCATCTGTTCCTCTGCCTTTCACATTTCGTCACAAAAATCAGACGGTACTTCAGCAATGTTATCTCTTAGAGTTTCTAGTTCTTAAAGACCCCCAAATCCCACTCTAAATCCTAATCCTGAAAAGGAATCATTTCCACAGATTGCAAAAAGAATTGGAGAGGCCCGTGGGAAAACATGAAACCATAAAAAGTGAACTTAACCAGGAATAAGACAAGGAAGTCTGGATTTGCGAGAACTTTATGAATTAAGGAATCCAATCTAGAGCCACTGTAAGTGTCCAAGTGTCTTTGAAAGTTAGTATTTGCATTAGGATTATTATTATGATTAAATGCATATAGTTTGCAGAAATTTATCACATCAATTGATTTTATATACATATACCCAAAGGAAAGGAAGTCATTATATGAAAAACACACTTGCACACACACATTTATAGCAGCATAATTTGCAATTGCAAAAATATGGAACAAGCCTAAATTCCCATCAACCAACAAGTGGATAAAGAAAATGTGGTATACATACACCATGGAATACTACTGAGCTGTAGAAAGGAATGAAATAATGGCATTTGCAGCAATGTGGATGGAATTGGAGACCATTATTCTAAGTGAAATAACACAGGAATGGAAAACCAAATATTGTATTCTCTCACTTTTAAATGGGACACAAAGGCATAAGAGCAATATAATGGACTTCAGGACTGGGGGGATGTAGGAAGAGGAATGAGGTATAAAAGTCTACACATTGTGTACAGTGTACACTGCTCTAGTGATGGGTACATGAAAATCTCAGAAATTACCACTAAAGAACTTATCCACATAACAAAAACTACCCATTCCCCCAAAACTATTGAAATATTTTTTTTAGTATTAACTTTATTCTTGAAGACAAGTGGTTTTGATATTGGATTCTCCAAACTCTTTAATAATAATTTAACCTTATAATAAAGAAATTGCATAAGTGATATGTTCAAATAACCCAAATCGAAATTGAACTTCACATTGAAGCTTATTTGTCTTGAAATTATACTTATGACCAATTGCTAAGAACTCAAGTCTTAATACTTTTTTCCTAACTTGAGGATGAGTTATAATAAATGGCACAGGCTTTGTTCTTTTATGACCAGTGTGACATATCTGTGACACAGATGACCTTCAATAATGATGTAATAAAGATTATCTGCAATGAACTAGAAAATGGCTTTTCCTCTCCACAAGAGCTGCTTAGAGACACTTCTGATTTCAATCAAATACAATTTTTAAAAATTTATTAAAATATAAAATATTGGTGAGAGTTACATTTAAGGAAAGCATTTTTTAATCCATTTCTCTTTTAAAAAGCAATTATTGTAACCAAGAAACAATTTGCTCTTTCCTCTTTGTAACACCAAATTTATAACTTAATTACCCAAGGGACTCATTTACAGGTTATAGGAGATTTTACAGGTTATAAGTGATTTGACACTGTGCCTTAACTATGTTATCATCAATTCTAGGTCATATTGGTGAGTGTTCCTACTCTATAAATTGTTAAGCATCAGAATTCTGTGTACAGTTTTTTAGAAGTTGATAACCATCTTTATATCTTTAACTTGTTTTAATTTTTTTCAAGTTTTATAAGCTTGAAAAAATGGTAAAGTGCTAATATGCCAATTCCTAATTATGAACTGTGTAGGAATCTTGAAATGACTATTTTAATACTTTATTTATAGGATTCCCATTCCCTTGTTCCCTAACAACAAGAATTAATGAGGATGAACAAGTAATCAAACATTATCTGTGTTAAAGTGTGAAGTGAAACATAGTTTATCCTGCCATAAATCTTCCTGTCCATATGGTAAAGGTATAATATTGGCAATGAAGCTTGCAACTCCATCTGGACAGATCCTAATTTTCCTGAATAAGGCAAAGCTTTCTAAATCAAGCCATCTGTTTGTATGCCTTAAAAGAATCTGTAAATAAAATAATGCAATATGTACATGTGAAAAGAGAGATCAATTAGCTTGACATTGATTAGCACAGTATAGAGCCAATTACGAACACATATTGATAATAGTCAAATACACTATTTTTGCTGCCTTGGACCAATAAACATTACCTATGCCTATAAAGAATAGCTAATGTATGTGTTAATCATCAAGAGCCAAAGTTTATAAAACTAGAAAAGACCCCCAGTTTTTAGAAGTCACTCCAGCTATTCTTTCTTCTTGCCCATTGGAAAACCTCCACTTATTGCTTTTATCACCGCATTTAGTAGAACTCTTTAAGAAAAAAATTAACCGGCTACATCTTAATCAAGAAAATATAAGGAATGGGTACATTTTCATCAAGAAAATATAAGGAATGGTTAAAATGGGTCACTCTAGGAAAAGAGGTAGAGAGATGTATTTTAAGAAGTTGTTAATATTTGCCTATTATAAAGTAGCTTTAATATATTGTTGTAGTAAGCAGAATTCTAAAGCAGCTCTCAAAGCTGCTTTTGCTTCTAGGCATTAATCTTGTAATTAAATGACTTTACATGATGAAAAGCGTTTTTGCCCATATAATTCAGGTTACTAACCAGTTGCCTTTAAGACAAGGATATAAGCTGGATGGGCCCAATTTAATCCCACAAACTTCTTAAAAGCAGAGAGTTTCCTCCAACTAGTAGAAGAATAGAAAATCAGAGAGATATACTCAGGTAGGCCTGAAAGAAAGTAAATGTGCAGATTTTGAGCTGCTGATGGGTGCCACATGGCAAGAAAGTGTGGAAAGAATCTAGGAGAAGGGAGAATTACCTGGTCAAGAGCTAGCATGAAAACGTGGGCCTCTGTCATCTAATTGCAGAATTTCAAGTTTGTCACAACCAGTGAATTTCAAGGAAAAGAACCCCAGGAATCTCATTAAAACTTCAGACCTGACCAGCACCTTGATTTCACATGGTAAAACTTGAACAATCATGCCAAGCATGAATTTCTAACCTACAGAAACTATGAGATAATACATTTGCGTTGTTTCAGGTTGATAAGTTTTGGTATTGTGTTATGTAGCAACAGAGAAGTAATATAATTGTGTGGCAGTTTCCCATGTCTTATCCCTGAACTTGTCTGGTAAGTTAGAATGGGATGATGTGGGCCATGAGGGAACTATTAGCCCTTCAAGATTTAGTGCAAAAGCAAACTTCTGCCGGTGCTGGCATATCATATATTGCTTAATATTAGAAAAAATCAATAAAGATGAGAGATTCTCCAATGTTAGCGTCACAGAGACAATGAGGGCTCACTGCCCGATGTGCTAGAAGCCAGTACTATGACACCAGCTTCTTTTTTTTTTAGGGGGAAAAAAAAAAAAAGCTTTATACTGCAAGGTGAGTCACAAGGAGGCAGGAGTGTCAAGCTCAAACCTGTCTTCCTGCACTGTCATTAAGACAGTATTTTTATTAGAAAAGGTTTAGCAGGTGATACTGGGATTGGCAGGTGATTGGTGGAAGGTTTGGAAGTCCTTGGGGCATGCACAGTCATGCAAACTCATGGGTCACATGTGCAAATTTACGGGGGAGTTAATATGAAACATGCAGTGGAATTCAGGCTGTGACATCAACAAACTCATTTTGCACAAACTCCAGTGGAACATAGTGGTTTCAGCTGATGTCAGTCCTTTTTTCTTGCTCTCACAAGGGAAGGGAGTTTCAGCATCTCAGCAAATTGTTGTTGTTTTTTCTTGTCTGTTATCCTGCCAACTGAAGACCTTTTGTTAGTTATTGGTTTCTTATTCTTTGGTGCACAGCCTGAGTTTCCGTTTTTCAGTGAATTGTTTATTTTTTAAAATTTACTAACCTGTAAGCCTAAGAATTTAGTAAATGGTTTTCTTAACTCTTTGGGGCATAGTTTCAATAGCTTGGCTTTATTTTTCTGATTGAGGCAGATAAACATATTAAGTAGATAAAGATTTTCAATGTGTTATGATTTATGTGTCATTTATTTTAGTACTAATATAGTTAGCATTGGAGCATATGAATGCTAAATCCTCTGAAAGTTAGTGGGTTTTCATCTTAAGTGATATTATATGTTGTGGAATCCTTTAAAAACTCTGAATTTTCCATTTACTAGGATAGTTGACTAACTACAGTGTGTGATTATTTCAGATTCCTACATTAAAAAGCCAAAAATAAATATTTTAATTTCCACTTCTCTTCTTTTGACACTAGAAATTATTTTCTTTCTGGGCCTTTCATGTCAAATCATGTGAAGTGCCACTTAGTACTGCAGCCTAGAGCATATAAATAGAGATTTTTATTCATTAGGTTCAAGGTGGGAATCAGAAATCTGTATTCTATTAAGACTGGGAAGAAAAATAGTTGCACGTTCTACAGTTTGTTGGTACTTCAGCCTATTATAAAGCAGTACCACATTTGTGGTAGGACCTCAGATTCAGGTGGTATCTGTAAGAGCAGGACATAAAGAAACACAATATTATTGTTATAGTGAAACATCTAAATATGCACATGAAAAGGGATAAAGACCATAAATCAGCTCAGGTCAATTCATATTTTTCCACCAAATAATTTTATAAAAAAGTATTCAGAGCATGTTGGACTTTTGCATTTGGGATAAGAAATTGTGGACTATATTAACCTGAGTCCTGCTTTATTGTAAAATCTACTAATAATATATGTTTATTAAAAACTTAAGTGTACCATATTATGTTATAATAAAAGAAGCAATTGGCCAGGCACAGTAACCTGTAATCCCAGCACTTTGGGAGGTTGACGTGGGAGGATCACTGGAGCCCAGAAGTTCAGGAGAAGTCTGGGCAACAAAGCGAGACTCCATCTCTACAAAAAATTAGCCAAGCATGCTAGCATGTGCTTGTGGTCCCAGCTGCATAGAAGGCTGAGGAAGGAGGATTGCTTGAGTCTGGGAGATTGAATCTGCAGTGAGGCATGTTCACACCACTGCTCTTCAGTCTGGGTGACAGGGTGAGACCCTGTCTCAAAAGAAAAGAAAAGGAATAATGATCACACGATGAACTGTATTCTGGTCTATATGCTAGTCTGTGTGATAAGAATACAGTACTCTACAGCAGTATTCTCAAACTTTGGCCTAAATCAGACTTACATGGCGGTCTTATCTATATACAGATTTGCTGGGCCTACCCCCAAAATTACTGAGTCAGTAGCTCTGGGGTGGGGCTCTGGAGTTTGCATTTCTAACAAATGCCCAAGTGATAATAATAATGCTATCAGTTTAGCAACCACACTATAGTCTATAAACTTTGTCTATAAAGAAGATATCAAACATTTTAGGCCTATGACCCATAGGAGGAATTTTTCACAACTTTCTCAACTCCGCCATTGTAGCTCAAAAGCAGACATAGACAATATGTAGACATATGATCATGGCTTTATTCCAATAAATGTTTACTTAGAAAAAATATTCATGAGCCTGGATTTGGCGCATAGCCATAGTTTTCCAATCTCTGCTCTAGAGCAGGATTTCTCAACCTCGGCATTATGGACATCTTGGAATGGATAATTATTTGTTGTGAGGAGCTGTTCTGCACATTGCAGCAAGTTTAGCAACATACTTGACCTCTACCCACTAGATTATAGAAGCATCCCCCCAAATGTGATGAACAGAAAGTCCTCATACTTTGCCAGATGTCTCTTGAGGGGCAAAATTGCCCCCAGTTGAAAGCCAAAACTCTGGAAAGAAATAGGTATTAAAGAAAATTAGCATGTTGTGATAGAAAACAGTCAAAGCCAGATTCTGAAGAAAGGGAAATCTGAACAACCTGAGTGAACATTTCTGATTCTCTCTTTATCATGACTTCTGGCAGATATTCCTCTGGAAGCCAAACTATCAAGTTGGAGCCAAATTTGTGACCTATCAGAAAGCTGAATGAAACTGTTATTTTGAAAGCTTCTGAAGATTCAGATATAAGGTGCTTGCTTCAAATTAAAATCCAGTTGCTGGTGTCATGCTAGACTACTACTGACTTCAGTAAGGATGGTACCATGTTCAAGAGGCCAAAAAAGAGATCTGGAGACAGTAAACAAGACAGAGGGTTTATTAAGGGGACTTAAATACAGGGCAGTCCAGTGGCGGCAGGCTGGATAGGAGAACTGCAACCACTTATAGAAATACAGTTTATATACCATTTTCACTTAGCCCTCTCCCCCCTAGCAACCTCTATTTAACCCAGAAAGAGGGCCGTCATCCATTCTACAGCCTGCATTCCATGGGATGGGCTGAGAATTTAAGTGTTCCTCAAAGATAAAGAATGAAACCTTGTGGTGGGCATTTCCAAATTCCTTAGTTCAGAATTCCAAATACACATTCCTCTTAGACCATAGGGTCATTCTCAGAGTTTGCTTCAGTTAAATCATTGTTGTCAGGTGCATATACCATACATCTAGGTGAGTGATTTATGAGATGGATACCACCAGTTACATATTTTCAAGGGTGTATATACTGGTTAGTGGGTCAACTGGTAGAACAGACTTATCTTTTAAGTATAGGGAGAACAGACTTGCGCCACTGAGTCCATGCAGGTTACAGAGAGTCTAGCTACTCACATTCTCTCAGCAGCATCAACGGTGATTTGCAGTGTAGGGCTAAGGTGAGGTTTCTTAACATGTGGTTCTTTAGAGCAGCATTAGCATCCCCTGGGAATTTGTTAAAATGCAAGTTTTGGGTATTTACTCCCTACCTACTTAATCAAACAATCAGGATTTGGGGCCCAACAATCTGTATTTTATTTTAAACAAGCCCTCCAGGTGATGCTGATGTATGGTAAAGTAACAATCACCATTCCCATTTTCACCTGAAAACAGAAATGTTTTAACCCCCATCATTTCATCCCCTCCAAAATCCATAAAAAGAGAAGCCCAGCTTGCCAACTTGATTTCTGCCTTCCAGTGATTGTTGAGCTGCCACTGCCAGATAAATCCTGAATAACTTGAACTGCCAGATGTTGAGAAACTTTTATCTGGGAAAGTGAGTAAGCAGAGGAAGATTATAAGCCATTTAATGTGGGCATAGTTACTGGCAAGATAGAAATTAAGCTGAGGTAGAACAGGTGGCTATTATAGAGGCATAATAATTAATGGGAGAAAAAGCATTAAAAAGTCAATTTAGGTATAAGAACTCTAAAGGGCTAAAGACCACACTCTCAAAACATCTCTGGAACTAACAAACGCAATTCCTAACTATAAAGAATTAATAGAGAAATTGAAAATGAGACCAATTCTCATTAAAAGATCACTCTATTAGGTATATGACTATATCATATAAACATAAACTGAGTCTCAATATTTAAACATCCTCCAATGCTTTTAATGATTTTTGGTTTTATAGTTTCCATTATTGCTACTGGGTAACAAGTCTGAAATTCCACAACGCATTTCCAGAAAGCTCACCATGAAGCCATTATTGATGTATAAACTATTTTTATTGTGAACTAGAGAAGAACTTGTGGTGTGTCAGTTGCTCAAAATAATTACAAACATCTGCCACCCAAAATTTGAAAATCTTCTATTAATATATATAGTGTTTTAAAAAAGGAGATGTTAACATTTTTAAATTAACTATACAAAATTGCTTTTAGATTTTTTTAAAAAATATCAATTCAAATCAGTTTCTGAATTTGTGAATTTGTATCTTGGAAAATATGTATTTAAAAAGCAAAAGCAGGAAAAAAGTTCTATTAACAAGTATTTTTAAGAGCATATTTGAGATTTACCAATACTCGATTATACATATTAATATTTTTATTTGTTTTGTATCTTAAGACACTAAGATAGCTGTTAAAAATTTGAGGCTTATAGGCCGGGCGCGGTGGCTTATGCCTGTAATCCCAGCAATTTGGGAGGCTGAGGTGGGCAGATCATTTGAGGTCAGGAGTTTAAGACCAGCCTGGCCAACATGGTGAAACCCCTTCTCTACTAAAAATACAAAAATTAGCTGGGCATGGTGGCAGGCGCCTGTAATCCAAGCTACTCAGGAGG
Organism: Homo sapiens; assembly: GCF_000001405.40. NCBI lineage: Eukaryota > Metazoa > Chordata > Mammalia > Primates > Hominidae > Homo > Homo sapiens. The sequence goes on from NC_000007.14 coordinate 118,759,813, forward strand.
CTGAGGCAGGAGAATCACTTAAACCCAGGACGTGGAAGTTGCAGTGAGCCGGAATCATGCCACTGCACTCCAGCCTGGGCGACAAAGCGAGACTCCATCTCAAGACAAAAAAATAATAATAATAATAATTGAGGCATATAAAGCAAAATAAACAATAACAAAAACATGGAACTGTCATATTTCAAAAGCATTTTTCAAAAGTAATTTTCATTGTCTGTATAGGAAAATTTGACTTTTCAGACAGTTTTTATTTCTTTTGCATTACTCTCATTCTAAACATAATGCTCAAATTGAAAATCCATTTTTGGCAGAGTAGCTTAGAATTCCCAAAGTTACATTTTCTGGCCAAAGAAGCAAAATAAGTCTGAACACAGTTTTTAAAACTACCAACAGAAATCCTTTAAAAATATTTTACATATGTAACTTGGTAAAAAAGGTCTGCAGATATTTTACTAGGAAATAAAATGATGTTGTCTTTAGAAACTACTCTAGTAAATGAAAATCTTCTTCAGTGTACTAAACTAAGCCAGCATGCTATCATTCTAAAACAAAACAAAACAAAACAAAACAAAACAAAACAAAACACAAGTGCCTAAATCTTTTCCACTGTCTCCTTTGGCCTAAAGTATAATGTCTAGCTCCAATTAAGTGCCATTTGGGAGAAAAGTTGAACAGCTAACTCCAGGGATGTTCTGATTTTAGTTTCTGAGGAATATAATACTTTTTATTGGGAATAAAATACATTTTTTTTCACAAGAGCTTTAGGATGTCTTTTCAAATTCTTAAAATACCTGAAAAATATATACTTAAAAATATATTTATCTGTTTTAGGTATTTCAAAAAATACGTGAGTAACTGAGGTATTAGAAAATGTTAGGGCAAAAAAAATGCCTAAATAAAACCATTTAAACTATTTGGAAGTCTGCCAAGTGGGTTACACAAATAACTCCTAGAGATTTTAATAATAATCAAGTTACAATCAAAAGATGGAAAAGAGATGTTATCAATAATCTAGAAAATCTTTTTCTAAGTACTTTCTAATAAGCATAACTTACTATACTGTGGGGTTCCAGTGTAAATCCATGACACTTTCAGTGGTGAAATCAGAAACAAATACAGATATATCACCAACGGAAAATGAAACATTTCTAACACTCATAGGATTTGCTTACCCTGTCAATTCTTTCTCCACTCCCTTTGAAGAACAACTGAGAAGAGAATTGCTATATGATAGGTTAGGTTCCAGGGGAGTCAGTGAGTGAGGGGCAGGCAGCTGAAAGAACACTCAAGAGACCACAGGTAGGTGGGCAGTGGCTTTATTCAGCAGCAGCTCACTCATACTTGGTGCTTCATTTACGCATCTTACAAACAATAGTGGCCAAGAGCTAGGTAATGAGCCCTCCCATGTTATGGCTACATAGCTGTGATTATGTAATGCATGGGATTGTGCGTCTGCGCTCCAAACCCGCTGTGCCATGCTATGCCAGATGTGTACCTTGGTCTATACTTGACTGCAGTGCAGCCATCTCCTTACAGATATCTTAGCAGAGGTTGAGAGCTGCCAGTATTTAGCACTATGAATTATCAACATTTTATTAGCTGAGAAACATTGAAGACCCTTGGCTTTTACAAAGCAATTAAGTGGCAGTGTTTGAAATAGATTTTAAATTTGTCTGGCTTGAACGTTCAAAATGTTCTCCAAACTGTCTGAAATATCAAAAAGTTATTTGATAGCTGAGGATGCACTGAAACATTTTCAGAACTAACTATTGCAAGTTAGCACATGGGACATTTCCAAATCCATATCATGTGCTATTGTGCTGATACAATCATATCTTGTTCTCAAGCTTTTGTTTGTGCAACCCAGGAATTATCAAAGGGCATAACTTTTCTAATTTAATTCAGAGAGCATTTTGGCAATTTGATTCACCATTTTCTATAAAGATCGGGGGTGATAAAATTCATCTTGCTTCCGGAGGAATATGAGAGCTTCGAACTGTAATCTTAAAAAAAAAAAAAAAAAAAGAGTTTGGGAATTATTGAGAGAGAATATTTTCCCAGATTTTTGTCTCCATTAAATATTAATCATTTTTATTAATTGCTAGAATGTTGAAAACATTGAATTTAATTTTAGCCCATCCTTTTCTATTTTGCATGAGAAATGCTTTAATTTAAAAGTGATACAAAAGAATTATAGAACTTCAATGGAAACACCTAAATAAAAATATTGAGGCACTAGTCCTCTTTCAGAATTTATCAGGCTGTTCATGTTTATGCAGACTAAGTTTACACAAAGCTCTAGATGAATCAATTCTATCAAAAACATGTTTGCTTTGCTCTAAAAAAAATGAAAGCAATATAATACACATCTTCAAGACACACTGCTATTTCTACATTTAAAAATTGCCGCATTTAGTAAGGGGACAAAAAAAAAAGACAAAAAGATATAGAAAAAAAATACAAACCAAAGGAAAATCCCCGATCCTCAATTTGGCATAGACAAAGAGCTTTTAAACTTGTTTGGGGATATTACATCCATTCATTACTGCAAAATAAAATTGGTTCTTTAGACAAAATGAATTGTGCTCAAAGGCTTGACAATCCTACTTAACATAATGAAAAACTGCTTATTAAACCAGTTGTGGTCCTCCCCAAAGAACTGAGATGAATATGAAGTCTTAAATATTTATTTCCCATACTGAAGATAGGGAAACAAGGCACTTACTGGTCATAGCCCAAATCGAGCCTGTTTCTGAGCTCAGTGTAAATGAGCTAAAATATAATTAACAGGTAGTAAATATTCCACATAAGCTACTGGGGTGTAAGACACAGATATGGAAAGAGAATAGGACACCTGCCCATGGAGACAGAAGGTTTAAATCAACAGAACATATGCTCCAGTGAAATATTAGTTTCAAATATTATTGTAAACTCTCAGCAAGCCAAATGATCCGTTCTGTAATACTGCATTACTGCATTATTGCATTATAATATGAAGAAAATAGCACTTAGAAAGAATAAAGTTTTCCAACTTCTTTAAAGACCAAGCGTTTATACTTTAACATTTTTACTTTATACTTTTGATTAAAATTAGACTTGGCAGAGTGAGAGAAGGGAAATTGAAGGTCTGCCTGTTTGTGTGGCTGGGCCAATGAAAAACGTGAAAAGGTCCACAGGGTACCGAGGGATGGTGGAGCCCACCTGCAGGAGCTCAGATAATTTTTATTCTCCTTGTTTAAAAATACGCATGTATGCACATGCACACATACCTGGTTTCCTGGGTATCATTTGGATATAGGCCAGTGTTTGCTCTTAAGAAAACTCTTCCTTTCATTCCTTCCACAAACTTTTATTGAATTCGTAAATGTGCAAGACATAATGTTCAGGGAAAATTAGATACAATGTTCCATTCATAATCCCAGAGTTAGAAGATTTATACTCTTAAATCTGGTTAAAAAACATATTTTCTAACTACTGACATTCCAATATTTAGAGGAAGAAGTTGGCCACTCAAACTATTTCACAGATTTCTATGACGTTTCCTATGGCATTTATTTATTTATTTTTAATTTATCAAATTTGTTTATTAAAAATATCTATTGTTATAGAAGAATATAAATAGTCAATAATAAAACTTTCTTTCTAAGCATACTTTCCACTTTATCCTACAATAAACCTATTAATCTTTTTAACAAAATAATTTTCAATGACTATGTACTGAAGTCAAAACATGATGTTTTAACTCATAGTTCTTGGGAATATAAGTCTAGAAACAACATTGCTATTGAGTACTCAAAGCGTTATTGAGAAAATCATGTATTTTCAAAGTATAATACAATAATTTTTAGAAAATAAAGGATAAACTGTCCACTTATTAATATATAAAAACATTTATAGACCATTGTCTTAAGAAATGCAGTGTGATGATATTTCAATTTGAGTAAAAAATGAGGCTCTCAATTACAGCATTTCTTTCACTGCTAATGAGAGAGAATCTAATCTTTCTATGAAGAGAGAGAAAGTCTCACATTTCCTAGTGTGTTCCAGGATCTCCTGTATTCTTTACATTTGGAGGAATCAACCATGAAGGAGTTGGCCACGGTGTCAGCATGTGAAGGCAGAGGAACTCCAGCTCAGAGAGAGGCTTCCCTGGATCCACTTGCCTCAACGACCCTCTGATGGAATCCAGGTGGGAGAATGCAGCTGGGCAGCTTGGGAGGCTTGAATGGAGGGGAGGGAACAGTGCTGCTTTAAGACCCAGGCCCACTCCTGGGGAAGTGAGCAGAGGGCTTGGATCTTGTCTTCCTGGCAGGTTTGGCAGAGCTCTTTGTGCAGGTGTGACTCTCATGGCCTCTTCTAAGGACTACAGCATTGTTAGCATCTCTGCCAGCCTCCCTTGTTGTTGGGACAGTTTGAACCTCTCTTCTTTCAATTCTTGAACCAGGGCAGGGAACGCCTCCATCAGCTTTGCGTTGGGCTCTATCTTCACCTTTTTGTAAGCATCTAACTCCTTTTTGGCAGCACTAAACTTGTTAGTGAGTTGGCATTTCTCCTCCATCTGTGAATCTAGTGTTTCTGCAAGCTGTTTCTCACATATTACATATAGTCGATTCCTAACAGACTGAACAAGTCATTCTGCAGGCTGGGAGGTCCAAGATCAAGATGCCAGCAGATACAGTGTCTGGTGAGGACCCACTTCCACATTCATAGAAGCTGTGAACTTCTGTCTTCTTGAATTTAAAAAATACGTCTCAGGAGAAACTGTAACAAATGAAAAAATACACTGTGAATTTTGGTGCAAATAGATGACGAATTGTTATGTAATTGATGATGGTGGGATTATATTTTGAACCAAGTGTAAATGACTTTAAAAGATCTCTGAAAAAAAAAAAAACCGTGAAGCAGCATGATATTTCAAATTCCAGATGAGAGTATACCCACAGGGAGCTGTGAGGGCAGGATTCCAAGAAGCGGGAACACCAAGGAGGGCACAGAGGCTGAGCAGTGGGGGGAGCCTGAGGTCCAGGAGGTCATCATCTTGCTCCCAGGTTGCAACACAAGTATCTCTTGGTTTGGCTGCCTGCTCCTCACTTCGGTGCTGGGAGCTATGGACTCTAGAGCCTCTTGGGCTCCTACCAGGGGTTTTAGTAACTCCAAATGTAGAGGTTAAAATTTGGGACATCATATTAATTTCTGCTCAAGTCACTCATTCTCTGACTTCTCCATTAGTCTCCTTATCAGAACTGGAGATTTTTGAATGGATGCTCCAGATCTTCCCCTAGAAGTTTGTGTCTCTTCTCAACTCTGCTAGCAACTCTGAAGTACTTAGAAATATTTTTACTTTGCTTTAATTCCTTTCATTGTTTGAAAACAAACATGTATCAGCATTTGAACAGAAATGTTCCTCTTTGTGAAATTCATCTTTGCAGAAAAGCAAAAAGTTCTGCTTATTAATTCTAAAAGAAGTTGAAGATGCCATTTGATAGAGTTTGCCCATTTTAGACAGGGGTTCCCAAAGTGATGCTTAACCATGTGTGAGTGTCTCCTCACTGATCTTTGCAGTACAGAACCTTCAATTCTTGGGACTTTAACTCATTTGAAATGAGAAAAATGATAGAAAACAGTTCATGAAATATTATCTCTTGATAAACTTTTGCTTTAGTATTTCAGGCACAAATCACAATATGAGACTGAATGAGTATCTTTTTCTTCTTACATGTCAATATTTAAGTTACTTATTTTCTATAAACATAGCTGAGGAAATCACATGTTACAACTAGTAGATGAACTAAAATAAAGCTTTATATTGGCATGGATTCAAAGCTTCAAAAATATTATACAGATTAAATTTATACAATTCAAGTTGCTAGATATAGGTTGTCAAAAATTAGATAAGGAAGGCTGTTACTAGGAAAATCAGAGTCTGAATCCCATTTCTTTTACAATATCATTGTGGTCTTAGGGAGTTTACTTACATTGTGACTATTTCCACTGCTATAAAATATGTAACATCTACAACTTTTGAAAACTGGATAAGTTAGAATATGGAGAACCAAAATAATACAAGAAAAACTATGTATGCTCTCTGTATACAAACAGACCCAATTAGAAATTGAATTGCCAGCTAAAAAGAAAAACTTGAAATAATCGAATGAATGCAAAGAAAAACAGCAAACTAAAGGAGTCAGAGAGAAGATAATCTATATGGAGCTGAAATAGAGACAAACTGGTAGAAAGATAAATACAAGTGCAAACACATGAGGCAGACACATAAGTAGATAATACAATTTTGAGCACAATTTATATCTTCTCATTGTATGAAAAAGTGAAATACATGGTTAAAAAAATGGTACTAATTAAACCCCATAAAGTTTTTCATTACATTAAAGGAATCTGTTAGGAAGCAATATCTTCTGAAATAAACTTTCTCTGAAATTCAGCATTTCTTCTCTTTAATTTTATCCTATTTAATTCTATTAATATAAATTTGTTACTTAAAAATATTAAAGAGTACTATGTTTAATATTCTATTCATTTCTATCATATCTACATATTTTATTAATATACATCTCAAACAATATTGCCATGGTGTTAATAAGAGTTATTCTGAGTTGTTGCATTCTGAATGACTTTTACTTTTTTTTTCCCACTTAACTATATTGATTTAATTTCTTATAATTATCAAGCCTCATACCAGAGAAAGTTCTCATTCTTAAATAAATGAGGCTAGTTCACTAAAGAAAAAGATAAAAATTGATAATACTGTGTCTAACATATAGAAACCATTCTACATATGCAGATAATGGTAGTCTTGTGTAATGTCCAATTAAGCTATGTGACTAGCAATTTATCAATGTTTCTTAGTCATATAGCTAATACTAGATTTATGTGCTGGATTTATACCCTGCAAAATATGAGGACAGAGAGCTGGTCATCTCTGTGTTGGGAAATTTGCAAAATGCTTATCACACTTTTTCATTGAGTGTCTATTTTACAAACAGGGGAGATCAAACAATGGATGTGATCAAGAAACAAACAAATGGAGAATGAAGAAAGAGCAAAGAGACAAGAATAACAAAGATACAGCATAAGAATATGAATTGAGCTGTTTTTTCTAATGTACTTTGGACATATAAGAGGCATCTTCATCTCAGAAATTGACCTTGGACTTATCTAGCATATTATTCTTTTGTTGAACAACGTTAAACATCTGCTTACCAAATATTTGCTGCCATTCTAAAAACTTCTAAGCACTGTGCTCAATAGAAAACTGAAGTATTTCACAAAATCTATTCTCATAGTAGCTTTTTAAAAAAGATATTTCTGATTACATGTTCCACTTGTGCACCTGAGCACCTAGAGAAAGGAGACCTTGGGAGGACTATTTCTAACCAGCAACTGAAAACATCAACATTCTTATTCCCATAACCACACTTACTTCAGTATAATAGGTGATTTCACCTTTCTTAGAAGATTGAGTTTATTGACTTGCCCAAATAATGTAATAATGGGGTAAGTGTGTGTATTAGTCCATTTTCATGCTGCTATGAAGACATACCTGAGACTGGGTAATTTATAAAGAAAAGAGGTTTAATTGGTTCACAGTTCTGCATGGCTAGGAATCCTCAGGAAACTTATAATCATGGTGGAAGATGAAACAGGCACATCTTACATGGTGACAGGTGAGAGAAGTTGAGGGAAGGGAGAAGCCCCTTATAAAACCATCATGAGAAGAGCTTGGGAGAAACCGCCTTGGTGATTCAATTATCTCCACCTGGTCTCTCCCTTGACACTTGGGGATTATTAAAATTTAAGGTGAGATTAGGGTGGGAACACAGCCAAACCATGTCAGTGTGGAAGAAAAAAGGAAAAAGGAAAGAGGAAAGATGAAAATGGAGAAGAAAATTATCATAAATAAAACAGAAATACTGGGATAGAAGATATTCTGCAATGGGAACGGATTTCTGGTGAAAATGAACTTAAAAGCACACTATTCCCAGAACAGAAACCTAATGTATTCAATACAATTTTTCCTGGGATTACAGCTATTCCTGCCCCACAAGCTATAACTTTAAAGACAAATGTGTGGGTGTTATCTTTTTTTCCTTTTGATTGTAATTCATTGTTTTTCTTATTTCTTCCCAGGCCTTACTCAGAAAGCACCCTGCGCTGGCATTTCATAAGTAAACAGAAGAAATGTCCTACTTGCAAAACTCTGAATATAGCTGAATCCCTCAAGGGCATAGAGGTTTAAGCATACAGAAGTCAAAGGCAACCTTTTTGTTCTGTGAAGGTGCTGCCATTAGGCAGCTGAGGACCAGCTGTGGGACCAACAGTCTTGGGTTGGAGCCTTTTTGAGATAAAGGAAAGACAATACCTTGGACTTAAATAAGCAATTCTGCTTTCCAAGTGTTGGTAGGCAGAACAATGATCCCCCCAGAATATTCACATTTTGACTCCTGGACTTGTGAAAATGTTATGTTAAATGGCCAATGGAAGAAAAGTTACATATGAAATTAAGGTTCCTAATTAACTGACTTTAAGGTAAGAATATTATGCCTGATTTACCTGTGGGCCCAATGTAACTGCAAGGGCCCTTAAACAAGGAAGAGGGAAGCAGAAGTGCCAGAACCAGAGGGATAGCATCATGAGAAGGATTTAACTGGCCATTGCTGGCTTTGAAGATGTAAGAGGGTCAAGAGACAAGAAATGTGAGTGACCTCTAGAAGCTGGAAAAGGCAAGTAAATGGATTCTCTCCGAGTGTCTGCAGAAAGAAAAGCAGCCTTTTCATCAACTTGATTGTCACTCTGTGAGACTGATTTTGGACTTCTGACTTCCAGGACCCTAAGATAACAAATTTGTGTTGTTTTTAGAACAAAGTTCCTGGTAATTTGTTACATCAATAATAAGAAATGGACACATCAAGAAAATTTAAAAAGGAGAAAAGAACAAATAAAAAGAGTAACATAAAGACTAGATGAGCACAGGGAACTCGCATGTGTGCACATTCCACAAAAGAAGCTATAACGTGATTACAGAAAGGAAGTCATAATAAACAAATAAATGTATATTGGAAATATGGAAAGGAATACAGAGAACAATGCAATATAAGGACAGACAAAGGCATCCAGCTATGATTTTTCTCTCTTTAGCAGTTTGAAAGACAGAAAATATTCTTTTCTTTTTTTCGGTTCTGCAGTTCTGAATTTTGAAAACTTTGCAAAAAATTAAGCATTCAATTCAAATGCCAAATAAGAAAACTTTTAGTGCAAATTCAAAGAAAAATAAAAATAGGTATCTCATAGTTTCAACATATGTTCAAATCTTTCAAATTTGAGCGAGATAGGCAAGGTGCTTTAGGTTCCTTCGCTTCTCTCACTTCAAGCTATTTGTTAGTTAGAATGTTTGATTTTCTGATCCTCTGCCCAGAAAAATGTATTGCCAGTGGAAAGTATTGTCAATAAACAACCATAGAATTCTGCTTTAAATCGTTCTGATGCTTATAAGAAAAGACACGAATTCATTTTGCAGACATGCTTTTTCTGTTCACAATTGCAATTGAAAATTGCAGTGAGCTACTTAAAAGCAGAACCGTTGAATGGAACTTGTCTTATAACAGAACCAGTTTTAAATGGACAATTGTATACCTTAGAGCTGTCACCAGCCTTTAGCCTTGTACACAGCATACATGTAATCAGTTGCCATCATACATTGAAGATAGTTAAGAATAGAGTTACTGAGCATCTATTGTCATCACAAAAATGTGAAAGCTACTAAGGCAAATATGTGAATATAAACACAATCCCTGGCCTCAAGGTATTTAAAGTAAAATTGTTCTAACTACAATAAAATTCAGCACAGATATAATTTTACAGGTTGTGATGTTGAAATAAATTGAAAAGAAGAAATGGTAATACTTTGTTACATACTGTTTGGAAACATTCTGTAAAATTCTGGTTGTTGCATGTGGTGGCTTTACCACCTCTAAAGACTTACTTAGAAAATAAAAATAAATATATTCTAGAAAATACCACATTATAACTGTGGTATAATACCACACTATAATATTTAAAAGAATTAACTTTGGTCAGAGACGGTGAAATTCCAATCCTGACTGTCACCAGATGAGTGATTCAGTGCAAGTTACTCAGCCTCCCAAACCTCAGTTTCCTCAAATGTGAAACAACGTTCTTTGACAATACTTGTCTCAGAGGTTTGTTGTGAACATTGCTTGAGGTAATGCATATAAAGCAGTTGTCACACTTTACATCCTTTCACATATTAGGTGCTCAGTAAATACTTGGGTGGTGGTTGGTAGATATTTCAAATTATAAACACCTATAGATAAAGATTACTTTGATGTTAGTATAATTTTGGGATACTTTGATCTATTTCATTTTGATAAATTCAGTTCATCTAAGGAGAAATATTGAGCATATTTTTAAAAAGTAAAAGGTTAAATGAATTTAAAACAAATTTCCCTATGTCAAATATTTTAAATGTGTCTATATTTTGAGTGCAAGAATCAAGCAGAAAATTCTGATTTGAACTCAATTTCTACTAACTGAAATCATCTTAGAGCAAAAATTTTTTCCAGAATAAGATTATTTCTTTTAAAAAGGATTAACACACTAAAATATCTAGTTTGAAATTCCAATATGTACTAGGTAGCACTTTAAAACATACACAATGCAATAATTTTTCAGGTACATAGTCAAAAAGTTCAAGATTCAAAGTCATCTAAGAAATATGAAATTTATAAACCATAATGTGTAGAAATATAAAATTTATATTTGGATTTACTGTATTTTAATCTATGATAACTTACACACTCATTTTTATATTATTATTAAGGGCAAGAACTACAGCTTTTATTTTCAATTCATAGCATAATCCTGGCACAAAATAATTGTGCAAGTGACATTTTTTGAACGTATAAATTAATCAATTTATATAATAACTCAACAAAACATGAGTTAAATTCAAGATAATGGCTGTTTTATTCTTATAGGCTATTCATCTACATTTTACAATATGAGTCTAGCTCTCTAAAACAATGTGATTACCTGTGAAGAATATATGTTATTTAAAAATCTTAAAATTGTTTTAATGAGTGAGATAAACTTAAAAGCTTCACGTATGCCCATAGCAAATATCGTAATTATAATCAAAATAATTAAATATCAAGCAATATGATGGTGATTTTAAACTATGTTATTCTATTTGCCTAATTACCATTACAGTTTAAATGTACTGTTTTCTCTAGTTGTCTTCAAGATATTTTGTCTTTACAGTTCTGAAGTATCATTAGAGTGTGTATTTATCATATTTATCTGACTGATAAATGTTGTACTTCCAATGATTATAGAATCATTCCTGTCATCAGGTCTAAAAAGTTATCAGCCATTAGCTCTATTTTATTTTCCTTCTACTCTGTTGAAATGCATTTAGAAAGTCTCATTCTACCCTTCCTATCACTTAGTATTCTTTTTCATACATCTTTCCATTCACTAATTCTCCTTTAACTATGTTTAAGTTGGGGATTAATATGTCTAGTGAATTTCTTATTTCACAATTATACTTTTTATTTCAGGAAGTAAATAATTTTTCTCTTTATTTTGATAGTTTCTTGATACATGTGTATGTTTTAATGAGGATGTATTTTTCTTAATTGCATATGTAGATACTCCACTTTTTATCTGATTACTGAAACTTCTGTAGTTTCTTGGAGCTTAACTTGTTGCTTTTGGATTTAATTAACTCTTATCATTGTGGTATGCTTTATAGCGTATTTGGTAATCTGTGTTGATGAGTTTATTGCTCAGTTTTATTATATGGGAGTCTTGCAGGAATAATTTAAAATAAGAACTTAAAAAAAATTCTGTTAGTAGCTTGAGGGTACCCCCAACCTAAGACCATTTTGGTACCCTTGAGAATTACAGATTAGGTAATAAATAAAACATTTAGCTTCCCCACATGTATTTTCATCCAAAGTTTAGCCTACTAAGAAGGAATCCAACCAAAGGGCAACCCCCATCCTCCAGCTGCTGGCTAGTTTGGGAAAGTTCCCTGCAGCTTTGACTTCCTGCCTCTGTGGTTCCATCTCCAAGTTGCTAAAGCCTAATGAGAAAAAAAAATGGTAAATATCCATATCATCTCTTATGATGAAAAGCTATTATGTTTTCAAAACTTAACTAAACACCCTTAGAGGAAATGTTGAAAAGGTTTTTGTTTCCCATTTTTTCCCCTTTGAATTAATGGAGATCTATCTATCTATCTATCTACCGTTAGATTACATAGGTAAAACATAACTTTCGTTAAGAATTATTTGGGGACTCAGATCTATCTCAAAAAATTCTTGATATTTATATTTTACTTACTTTAGATATGTGAAATATTTCTGGACATATAGAACCCTTCCTGCATCCCTAAGCACAAAGATGAGCCATGATTTATAAAAACAAACAAAATCACTACAAGTCCTAAATAGACAGAAGTTAATAATTAATACAGTCATTTTAATCTAGATTTGGGATTCCTAGCAGCACACAGAGTTATAAGGATATACACTGTGGTAGGCTGAAAAATGTCCTTCTAAAATATATCATGTCCTAATCCTGGCAACCTATAAATGTTACCTTCTATGGATAAAAGTAATCTTTACAGATGTGATTAAAGTAAGAATCTTGAGATGTGTAAATTGTCCTAGTATGGGTGAGCCCTAAATGCAATCACATGTGTTCTTGTAATAGTGAAGCAGAAGGGGATTTTACATAAACAAAGCCAAATATGTTTATGTTTGAGCCAAATACACTCAAAGAAGCCAGAATTGGAGTGCCACAGCCACTAGAAGCTAGAAGAGGCAAGGAATAGATTCGACCCTAGAACCGCCAGAGTGAATGCAGCCCTGATAATAACTCTTAGCACAATAAGAGTGACTTCAGACTGCTGGCATCTGAACTGTGAGGTAACAAATTTCTGTTTTTTTAAGCCATAAAATTTTGGTAATTTGTTACAGCAGCCACAGGAAATTAATACACATGCGTACATACACAAGTGAGGTATAAATCACTGCTATATTTAAGATACTAGATTCAGAGAAGCATAATATCAAAAACTCTAATTTTTTATGCACAGGTCATTTTTAAAAGATCAGTTTTTTAATTATTCAAGAAAACTACAAAAGCCTTGAAATACATTACTTCAGAAAAAATAAATCTCCTTGTTTTATTACTGATCTTTCTTGTTTAGAAAACTAACTTTTAAGGCTACTTTCATTGTTATTTGCTCATTGTTTTCTTGTCTGGGAGATGATGACATAAAATCAATGAAGTGTTTGTTTTTGTTGCCAAAAGCCTAATGTGAAGAAATAAAATCTACTTAGGATGAAGTTGGTCCTTTTTACAACAAATAGCTTTTATTTTTAAGCCATGTTATGTGCCTATGAAAGGAAAATTTGGATTATAGGAAGAAAACAATGGGATTTTATTTCTAAGTACTTGCAAACATAACAATAGCCAATACAGTAGGCTAAATAAAAATTCTTTTTTTTTTTTTGAGATGGAGTCTTGCTCTGTCGCCCGGGCTGGAGTGCAGTGGCGCGATCTTGGCTCACTGCAACCTCTGCCTTCTGGGTTCATGCCATTCTCCTGCCTCAGCCTCCCGAGTAGCTGAGACTACAGGTGCCTGCCACCACACCTGGCTAATTTTTTGTATTTTTAGTACAGACGGGGTTTCACCGTGTTAGCCAGGATGGTCTCGATCTCCTGACCTCGTGATCCGCCCGCCTCGGCCTCCCAAAATGCTGGGATTACAGGCGTGAGCCACTGCGCCAGGCCAGTAAAAAATTCTTAAAACAAAGACATAGAAAATAATATTTTGATAAACTAGTAATCGTCAATAAAAATTATTAGAAAGAGGACTTTTAACTCTTATTTACTGTTGAAATTTCATAAATCCAATTCAGTTAATTCAAACTAAGACTACACTTTTAAATTTCCTTTATAAGGGAAAAGTAAAAGAAAACCAAAAACCCTCAATATTTATTACATTTGATTATATATTAAGAGACACAAAATGTAACTCACTATGACATAGTCCATCAATTACTATCAATATCTCCAATGGGCATAATAGTAGAAAATAGAAAAGCAAACAATGCTTTGAACTTCAGTGCTGCCCTGAAGATTTTAGTAAATAAATGCTGTCAACCATTGTAAAAATCTGTTAAGCTAAAGAACAGTCCCCCAGGCCGTCCTCAATTTTAACACTAACTGCAAGTCAGGAGAAGGTCCCTAACCTCATGCTCATGTCTGATAATTTGCTAGAAGGACTCCAGATGATTATGGAAAGTGATTATACTCCTGGTTACAGTTTATTACAGTGAAAAGATACATATTAAACTAGGCCAATGGAAGAGATGGATGGGACAGAGCCCAGAAAAGTTCCACATGAATTTCCAGTTGCTCTGTCCCAGTGGGTCATGAATAGTGCTGACTTCCTGGCAATGCTGTATGACAATGCATGCAGAATGTTGCCATCCAGGGAAGCACACTACAGCCTTTGTGTTGAGAGTTTTATTGGGTATGGGTCCCCTAAGCCTGGTTATTCACTCATATGGTTAACCATAGTTCCCATACCCCACTTTGAATCACATTGTTAAACTATCTAATGTGGCCCAATGGTCCCAGGTAAACAAAATTGGTTTTATCAGGCATGACATTCCAAGGGCTTAAAGATCACCTCCTAGGAGCCAAGGGTGAAGACCAGATCTCTTTTTACGTAAAGTTAATTTTTTTTACTACACATCTTCCTAATTTTTCTCATGCTGAGCAATTTCTTTATTTCGACTGTTGCAAAATAAGGTCAAATTCCAATGCTCTTCATTTTTACTCACCCTTATGCTCTTTTATTCTCTCTAACAGCCCAAAAACATGCACAATTCAAATGAAACATTGCTTCTAAATGCTTATTTGGGAGTTGAAAAGCTATGTCTATTTTTAAAGCATGTATTTACCACAAACTGTGCTAGAAGTTCACATGCCAGGAGATAAACTGGATTTTTCAGGTATTTGTTTAGATGCAAATTGCCTAGTTGTAACCAGTTTCTCAAAACACTATTTTTCAGCCATGTGTACATTAATGTAATGAGATGACTGTTATTTCAGTTCAAAATAAGAACTTTTCATACTAACCAAATGTTGCTGATGTACCTCTTAAACATTAAGCACAGTGCTACCAGAGAAAATAAATCATCGTGTAAGTAAGAATATGTGAAAATATCTTAGAAAACCTAACTTTTTATCCATCCATATAGACAAAATTTTAAAGAAAAATAAATAAATAAAACAAAAGGAAGATAAATGGTCTAAGTACAGAATCAGCACAGGTAGTGAGACAGAATATAATTGTGCCCATTTGTAAAACTTTCTTGATGAAATAATAGATAAGCACAGTTGTAATAGAGTAGGTGCACTGTATCCAAGTGTTTTTGTTTGAGATTATTCATCCAGTCTTAAACAAGAGTCTTAAAGAGTTGAAACAAGCCCCATCAGTAGAGGGTGTTAGATGATTTATTTTACAATTATAAACTCAATTTAAAGTTTGAAAGCTTTAGAATAATTAGTGAAGTATACTGTTTTTTTTCCAGAATGGGTATTATATTGGTAAAATAATGGTTTTGAACAGCACTTTTTCCATATGGTCAAAGTTATTTTCCTTACACTTTGAATATTTCTGATTCTCAGGCACAGATTACATTAATCAGTCATGACTGATGTGGACTGATTTTGTGGACAAGTTTAGAAGAAAAGGGAGAATAATCTGAATCCTTTAGATGTTAATTGCTTTGGTATTTCTCCCTAAAATTGAATGTGTCCTTAGATAGCTGGGATAGTTTGTGCTGTGAGCTAATCTTTGAAGAATTCATTTCATATCAATTTAAAGAGCACATTTTTTATTTTCTATTTAAATGATTAAAATTCAGTCCTTGAGAATGCTAACTAATACAGGGTGATATTTAACCTGTTTAACAACTGAGGCGAATTGTCTAACTGCTAATCAGAACAGATGCTGGTGTATCTTAAAAATTAAACTTACAAAACCTACACTGATATTACGGTAACAATTCAGTCTTTCACAAAAATGTGTTGATCCAAAATAAGAGGGAAATCTTTATACCTCAATAAAAATGTAATATTAATGGCATATAATAGCATAACATAAGTTAAAAATATTCCCAGGATTTTGCTAAAGGGATATTCTTGCTTATCCTTAAAATGACATTTCTTGACTATATTTGGTGTAGTAGGAATATCGGAAAATGCATCCACCCTAACATTATAGATAATTTGTTAATATTAGGAATAATCAATCTGGTATTCTGTACCAGGCACTCTTATGAGAGCTTCATGTAGATGAGCCAATTTAATCCTCATGACAACCTTATTAAATTAATATAATACAGCAACCTTATGATGATGACGTAGGTAGTAATATTATCACCATTTTATGGATGAAGAAAAGAAAGTACACAGAAGTTGAGTAATTGAGCAAGCTCACACAACTAGTAAGTTGCCAGCTGGAGATCAAACCTAAGGAAACTATCTCCAGAGTCAATTACCTGATAGCTATGCTGTTCGGCACTTCCCCACTTTTAGGAAGGGCTTATGCTATTATGCTCAAAGTGTTTCCTTCTTTTCAGTTCTTCTGCTTTTAACCTTGGTTTTATAAGACTTAAACATTTTCTTCTGCTTTTTTTTTTTTTTACTTTACAAAAGATAAAGTAAAATAAAATGTTAAGCAAGGACTATAAACACAAACTAATATTTTTGGGAAAAATTGAAATATAAAGCATTTCACAAGACATCAAAATTTTAATTACTCAGGTGCAGTGACTTGCATCATTACCTGGCCAGCTTTTCTAGAACTTTTACATGATGCCAAAGGAACTGTTAGCTTTGCCAAAAAGTGGCTATTTGCTACCCAGTGATGACAATTACCTGTCTCCTCCTTTTCAAATTCTTAATCTCCAAATGGGAAGTATTGTCAGCCAATTTTATAGATGTCCTTATTTGAGGAAAGGGCATCAAATCCATAGATTATGTCGAGCAGTGAATATGTCAGCAAACCAAGCCCACAACATAGAGAGTAAATAACACGTGGGACGGTGCCCAACAGGCAGCAAAGTCAAGTGATGGCTGCCAAGCAATAGTTGCTTGATCAAAGGCAATGGGCCAGGCTCTCAGGATCAGGTTTGGATTAAATGATTAAACTGCTGGGTTGGAAGTGCTCACTGGGATTCCAGCTAAACCTCTGTGCCCTAAAGGAATCCCCACAGACTGAAGCAGCTGCTACTTCTGCAACAAACCTTGTCAACAACAACAAACAGGCTGAATTCACTTCTATTTCCTTAGCTTCCTAATTAACACTATGAAACACATTATGCTTTTCTAATCCAGTTTCTATAAAAATGTAGTTGAACTAAATTATTTCTTCTTTGTTTATAAATGTCATCCTAAATATTCTCAACATTTTCTCAATATGATGCTCTCACTAGCCTCCATCTCTCTACCATATGTGGTAGAAATGAATCGATTTCCTTCCAGGCTACCTTCTTCCAAAAGTATTTCAGGCAGTTACCTGGGCTGTTCTCCAGATCCCTGCCACAAGCCTTTTTGCTCCCAGCTCTCCAGGGAGACCTTCTGGAAGAACAGGGACATTGCAGCCTATGCCCTGTTTTTCTTCTCTAAGTTCTACTGTTCTGACCATCCATAGTGCTCTAAAACAGGACTGTATGCCTGGCTTGTACATAGCATAAACCTCTACAGTTCTTGGAATTTTTCAAAGTGATACCACCTTTTTGTTTCAGTTATGCTTTAAAGTCTGCTTTTAATTTAAATATACTGTAAATTACTTGTTAATCTCACTGTACAGACGAAGAAAGGAGGCTCAAAAGGTTAATAGACTTGCTCACGGACACACAGTTAATAGTAGAAGAGCCATTTGTGGCCTCTAGGCTGGTGTTTGCACCAATGAACTAGTTTCCACTTCCAGAATATGTTACAGGCCTCTCTATCTCACTCTGGTACTTAATTCAGCAGGATATAGATAGTATGTGATCAATAATCCTCAGTGGAGTATATGAATTACCATTCTTAAAATACTATTATACAGTTGAAGTAACCCCTGCAAATCAATAAGCATAACATTTAGTTAAAGTGGCCCATGTGACTTTCCTCCACAGGAGCCATATTGTCTCCAGTGAAGTAAAATTAATTCTTAGGGAAGAAGACAATAAATTGTATGTACTACAATGATTTGTGGCTCAACACCATCTGTTAAAATCGTATTCCTTAGTATTTAATTTTTCTTATTAGGAAGCATTTAATTTAATTTAATTTTTCTCCTTAGATGTGTGACAATGAAAACATTGAACCCTGACCTAGAGGAAGCTACAATATTGGTGAAAAAATAAACAGTGAAGAGGGGTTCTTTAGTTCTTCCTTTTCTAATAATAATATAACAATGCTTTGATTGTTAGATATCTCCAAATCAATCATAGGATTTCATTCATTTAGCAGGTGTTTGTCAAGCACCCACTAAGTGTCTGGGTGCCAAGTATTATTCTGGCCTATGTGTCAGCATGCTGTGTAAAATGAAGAATGATTCAAAAAGAAAAATACCTGCTCTCCACTCTTTATTGTTAAAGGTAGTTTGAAATCAACAAGAGGAATAGAGAAGGAACTATCACATACGCATGTGCCATTTGACCATTATTGTAATGAGTGATTTGCCAAGTTAATTCATTTTACACGTGAGAAAATGTATGAAGCATAAAAGGTTAAGCAACAAGGCAAATTCACCCAGCTGTAGGGTGATCAGCTTGTCCTATTTGCCCAGGAATGCCCCAGTTTTAAATCTTAAAGTCCTTTATTCCAGATAAGCTGGGAAGTTGATCATGTTGTAACTGGTAAAGTCAGAAGAGGATTCAAATTAAAAAACCGGCAGACAAAATACAAAAAAAACGGTCTGCTCTGTTGCGCATTTTATGCTGCCTCTTTGACCCAGTTTATTTACCTGGTCAATCTTTCACGAAAGGTTTATTTTCTAGTAATCACTTAAAAAAACATAAATACAACAACTAAACATGAAAGTTATCAAATGAAAACATAAATAAATACACCCCCAAAGAATCATTTGGTGATCTTCTTTTTGGGTGCTGTATTTGCATTCAAAATAAGACGGAGCAAAATTTATCTGTGACATTTGGTATGCTTAAAGGTAATTCAAAAATATCTCTGCTATAAAATATCTCTTAAAGTGTATAGATAGGGTAAGATCATGTCAGTGGTTGGGAGAGGTAAGGATTGGAGAAGAACACTGCAGGTCTAAAGCAGTGAACAATGGTAGTCAACCAGGAGCCCATATCCTAACATCACAATCTGGTTGCACTTTGTGCTAAGAACAATCATAATTGTGTAGTCACAAAGCTAAAATCACCATAAATATAGCTGTTCCCTATTAATCACTATGAACATCTGCAACAATTACTCATGCAGAGAATAATGATTTAGCAGCTGTGCACACTAGAATAAGACTTGTGTAATATTTAGGAAGACAGGGATAATGCATATATCATTCTAACAAAAGCTCCAGCATATATGATTTATGATTTTTCCCTTAACGAAGTAATACAAATTATTGCTAGTTGGAGACAAAAGACACAAGTATATTGCCTTGAGCAATGTCTGTTAATATTTGTTGGTATGCATTTTGTAAATTAATATAACAACCACAAAACAATTTGTGTGTGTGTTTTGTTGTTTTGGTTTGGTTTTCTGTAGTTTCTTGGAAAGTTTCTCAGAGAAACTTGATTCTGAATTCACATCTACTTAATGGGTATTTTTAAAGTAACGTGATTTCTTTGCATTCTAATAGTTTAATGGTATTTATTTCCAGTTTAGATTTTATGGTATGTGGTTGAGAGCACAACTCAGGAGTTAGACTCGAGAGCACACAAATTGCAAGTCAACCACTGTGATATGTGTGTGGCTCTTCTTTTTCCTTGAGACTTTTCTTACTGGTTGCATTCTTTTTTTATAATCTTTTCTTGCTAATTACATTATTTCTTTAACTGTTCGAGTTTATTAATCTGGAAAGAAATGCTTCTCCCAACCACAACTCATGCCAACTCCCTTGTTCTATGTCTTCACCCCTTCACAGCCAAACTTCTTGAGTGTTTTGCATTCAGTTGTTGCATTCATGACCTCTTCTTCCCTACCTCTCTTCCACTCCCCCAACTGCAAAAAACTAATTTTGCCCCAACTACTTCGCTTATTCTTCAAATCCTCCTCATACCTTAATCTAATAGACAACCGTGTGCCCTGATTTTTCATGTAAAAGCGTTTTACAAAATTTGGTTTCTATACTCTGTACTGCTTTCTTAAATAGCAAATATACCTTCTAGGTCTGATCAGTATTCTCCTCCTCCAAGGCAATCTCAAAATAAGGATATTCTTTGGAGTTGCGTTCCCTAATACAATCCCGATCTCATTTATCCGTATAAATCCATTGCCCATTTAAATACTGATGATTCCTATCTTTTTCCGGATTGCTTCCGGATTGCTTTTCTGTCTCCACAGGTGCATTCCATGGCCAGTGTAAATCGAATGAGCCCAGAACTAAAACTACCAAGAACTCTACTCCCAAGGTAACCTCAGTTCCCAGCATCCAGGTCTCTGTCCACTACCCCCTAAATTTTAAGTGTCACTCATTCTAATTCTTTAACTCCCAAAAGTCTTTGACCTCATTGAGACCTTCAATCTTCTCATTGTGCCTCCTCCACTGCACATCCACTTCTCCCTTCACATAGCTGTTTAGATTCAACAACCCATTCTTACACTCATTCCATTACAAATATCCTTTGCTATATTTCTCTGGCTAAATCTGGTCTACCTACTTTGTCTGGACCAAATCAGATGAATATGTCTTTAGAGAAGAACCAAGCCAATAGGGGTATCATTTTAAATCTAGAGCCAGTAATTTCTTTCTCCCATAAATATACCTACTGTATTTACTTTCCACTTTCCTAGGAACATATTTTTACATTTCATCTCTAAGAAAACCTCCATAAATGCATAATCCTTCTTATTTAGATTATTAAGCTTTGGATTTCTAGTTCTCTGAGAAATAAAAGTATTCAAAAGATATTTTTCATAGGCTCCCCAAACTACATCCATTATCCTCCTGCAGTTGCAGCCATACTTTGATCTTGCTCATGTTATTCTTGATGATATGTTCATCTTCGTTTCTGAAGTCAACTGCTCCAATATTGTACAAGACCTATCACCTGTTGAGCAGTGATGAATAGTAATTGTCCCCTACTTTATATCATGTTTTTCTTGCCCATTAATAAACAAAATTATTTCTGTTCTTCATTAACCCCTATATCTGCCTCCAGGCATCCCATCATTTTCTTTGCTTCCTTTTAAAGCAAAATTTTCCCCAAATATTTTCATGTATTTGTCTTTTCCACTACCTCCTTTTTAAAATTAAAAGCAATTTTTCTTTTGATTTTACCAAATCAGGCTGCCACAATTGGCCTACATGTATCCAAATACAAATCAATAAATCCTAAGTCAGACAATCATAACTTGGGTCTATCTGCTGTGTTGTCAGTATTAAATGCATTTTCGTCTTACAATATTTATGACGTATGATGGCTTTACTGGGATGGAACCCCATCATAAGTTGTGGAGCAATGGTCAGTTGATAAACATTACCGTGTTGGCAATATACAACATCTGATGGTGATGCTGAATCTGTCTTGAAATACTCTCTTCACTTCGCTTTAGTGGCAGCTAGCTTATAAGACAACTGTTTAAATTAGTAAAAGGTACACTTCCCTCAGGCAGATGTAGCTCTGAGTAAAAACTTATGACTTGGTTGATAGGACACTTGTTAGAATTCAGCCTCCTCTTGCCCCCTAAGCAGGCATGCTTTTATTAGATTTGACCTGCCTAATGTACCAGGCAGCCCCAAAGACAACAGTCTCTCTTAGTTCTCCTTCTTCCTTACTGCCTGCTGCCATCTTGCTTTCTTAACCTCTAAGTGTCAAAATGATCCCCGGGCTCAAGTTTAGGACTTTTACTCTTTTCTATTAAGACTAATTCACTAAATGTTCTCATCCAGTCTCCTAACTTAAATACTATGTATGTTCTCATCCAGTCTCCTAACTTAAATACTATGTATCTATTGATAGCTACACACTGCATATCTCCCAGTTGGACCACTATTTTCCCTGAAATCTAGAATTGTATCAGCCACGGCCTACTTGACATCTTGATTGGTAGACCTAACACTATCTCACAAATACATTATGCCAAAAGCCAATTTCCTGATTTTCCTCCCAAATCCGCTTTTCTCTCATCTTTCTCTTCTTAATATTTGGGAACTCAATATTTCCATTTGCTCAGGCCAAAATTTTGCAGTCATCCTTGCCTCTTCTCTTATTATCATGCTAATCTATCTGTAAACCCTGTTAATTTTACCTTCCATAAACTCTTTAACTCAACCCTTCACTGCTAACAGACTGATCTAAGTCACTACGGCACACAGGAAACTATTACAATAATCTCCTACCTTGTTTCTCTTATTCTGTCCTTAGCAGTCTGCTATTAAGACACAAACCAGAATAACCTTGTTAAAACGTAATTAAGATTATTATTTCACTGCTCTTCTCAAAACATTTCAGATTTCCCCTCTCAGGGTAAATTCCAAAGACCTTTCCATGGTCACGGCCATATGTATAATCTGTTAATTGTCCATCCTGCTCCAGTCCTACTGGTCCCATTGCTATTTCTCAAATATGACACACACACTTTCACTCAGAGTTTTTGCACAAGTTATTCTTTCTGTCTAGAGCACCTCCTACAAGTGTCCAAATGGCTCACTAACTCACTTACTTGACGTAAGTCTGTTCAAGTAGCCCCTCACATCCTATCTCCAGTCACTTGACACATAGTTCTTCTCACTGCATTCAGTCTGTTTTTCTTACTCACGTTTATATTCCCAGAACTTAATGCAGTGCATAACACACCAGGAGCACTCAGTAACCATTTGCTAAAAGAAGAATGAAAGTGCAGTTAGGAAGTAGGGAGTAAGGCCTCTCTAGTTTTATCAACATTTTATCCTTGGCAGTTCTTTTTTTCTGTAGCATAACAAAAGTACTAGATTAATTATTGACACCTATGCCAATTAGATCATTTTCCAGAAAAAAAAAAGTCAGCATTTTGTTCACTTCTTTATAGGGAGCAACTCTGACTCTACAGATATTAGTTGGAAATACAGTCAGCGTAAGTCAGTGTAATTCTTTAGCTAAGATTTTTATTTTCCACAATCAAGTTCCAATAACCACACACATTTTTCACAATTAGCTTTGAAAATTACAGCCTTTTTCATTGCTGATGTTTTAAATAACAAAAGTGAAATCCTTTTCACAGTAGAGGTAAGATATATTTAACTTATTCTGGTTAAGCCTTTTGAAAGAATTGGTATAGAATGAGGCCTTTATTTGTAAATAATACTATAACCCAGTGTTACCACATATTTATTATTAATTAAATGCTAATGTTTATAGAAAAATTTATACATTTTAAAGGATAAGTCTTTTCTTCTTCCTTTGTAATATGCTGTATTGTGTTAGTAGACATATATATGTCTCTGAAGAATAATGTGGTTCAGAATAAGGCAGAGAGGAGAAAATGAGTTAAGAATAGTATTTATCAAACGACCCCTGAAAAGTATTGCTTCATATGAACAAAGTCATTTTCTTCAAAATACCCCTGGCAAGTGTACTATCTAAAATGATTTCTCGTTTCAATAAGCTTTATTCAATAATAAAGCTCAATTTTCAGAGAACTCAACCCTCCTTAGTGCCTCTGAATGGCTATATACTTGGTCAGCATAATTTCCTTTGAGGTTTAAATAATTTATTTCAGAATTTGGGATTCTGCTTTCTACTCCTGATTCTTGAAAAACTCATAAAGAGAACATCATGCACGCCCCTTGTAGACACTACACTGCAGTGTATAGACATTACACAAAGGATGTGATTGAAAAATTGTATACAAAGGCCCTATTTGTGAAATCATAATTAGCCAGTAAATTTACATTGGTAAATCCTTGTCTTTCCAAAAATATTCTGACAATAAACTATATATGCATGCCTATCCATATGTTTCTTATTACCAGTCTTTAAAGTCCAGTTGCAACCACCATGTTATATGCTACTAAATACAAAGAGTTTGCATTTATATGTATTTTATTTAGACATAAATGACAAAACAAATGTATAAAATGTCTATCCTCTACATGGAATAAATAATTATAATACTAAGGTATGAAAAACATTTTCACATGAAACTTTTAACTTAGCTTATTGCAAACTAGTCACCAAATACTAATATAAAAGCATAGTGCTAGTCACAGTGAAAACAATTACATAAGAAAAAGCAAACAAAATTTAGCATCCTGATAGAATGTATGCAAGAGCTTCTGAATTAAGTCCATTGCTTGATTTCACTAATGTTTATTTCTTTTTAGATTTTCAATTATGGTGAAATACACAAAACACAAAATTTACCATTTTAACCATTCTTAAGTGTATAGTCCAGTAATGCTAAGGACACTCACATTGTTGTGAAACCAATATCCTGAACTCTTTGCATCTTGCAAAACTGAAACTCTACACCCACTAAAAAACAACTCCACATTCTACCCCTGGCTCCTGGTAACCATCATTCTATTTTCTATCTCCATGAATTTGATTATCCTAAATACCACATACAAATAGAGTACCTTTGTGGTTGACTTATGTCTTTTAGCTTGATGTCCTGCAGGTTCATCCGTGTTGTAGTATGTCAGAATTTTCTTTCATTTTAGGGATGAATAATATTCCATTTTATGTATACAACACATTTTGTTTGTTAATTCATCCACACCCATGGAAACTTGAGTTTCTCCCATCATTTGACCATTGTGAATAATTTGTTTTGATATAGTAGCCATTCTAATGAGTGTGAGGGGTTTTCTTCTTGTGGTTTTGTTTACTAATGTGTTTTTTAAAATTTCTTCTATTAACAAGCCTTTTTAGAACAGGCTGGTTGAAATGATCTGGTTAAGGAAAAATGAGATGGCAAAAAAATAGCAATAGAGTGTCATTTTTTGGAGACAGAGAATAAGAAATAATAAAAAGAACATTAAAAGGCCACTAGAATCAGTACTAGAGACTACAGCGTAATGACAATATGAACTTCAAATGAAAAACATAAGTTTGCTGTAGAAATTTAAGCATCTCAGAATGAATTGGACTTTATACCTTATGGCCACATGAAGTAGTTGTTATGCCTCCTTGAATCACTGGAGACATCTTCGGTGTAAGAAAATATTTAAATATAGCTAAAGCTATATTCTCTTCAGTGTAAGAGAATATTTAAATATAGCTATAGTGAAGAGTTGTTTGTTTCATTTTTAATCATAAAAAAGAGATTCAGGTTTTTGGCATACAAAGATAACTCACTTTTTCTTCCCTCGAGTAGCTTCTCTCAGGTTAAGTTTATATAGATACACATATATAATATGCACATATGTGTATACATATTATACACACATATATAAGCTTAATATGTATATATTATAGCTATACATATATTACATATATGATACATGTATACATGTATATAAATACACATCGAGACACATGCATATATGTATGTATATACACATGTATATGCATATACGTATGTATCTCTCATATATGTATATATACATACATATATAAATATATGTCTGTGTCTCTCATATATGTATGTATCCCTATGTGAACAATAATTGTAGTGTATGTTCAAGTTCGTCATGTCTGCCATTGGTATTAAAATGTATTCTATATGTACTTTATATTCACTCTGTGTGTTTTTGTATATACACTCACCCACACAACAGATGCAGGTTAATAAACCACTTCTGTTTTCTAGGTTCCCTAGGGAATATATTACTAACTGTATTCTTTGTGAATATGAGCCCTCAGAATTTATTTTTAAATCATTCAGATGTGGTAGCTATGCCAGAGATGATGCTATTCAACAGAAAACAAGTATATTAAATGTCTTTACAACACTGTAAAGCAAATATCACAAAAAGTCCTTTTAAAATGCACCCAATCAAAGTCAATAACCAGTCAAATTTATTAGATTGCTCCTATGAGCACCTTTCCTCCTATACCTGCCTTCCCTTAGTTTTCAGACTGCGACAACAGTGCTCAGCTGTGTCTCTGCTTACACTGTTCTCCAGAGCATCCAAGACACACTCCCCCTCAGGTTCCCTGAGTTCAGAGTTTTCTCGAGTTTAAACCTGTATAGCTCCCCTTACAGAAGCTGCAGCCTATGTGGAGAGATGATGGGTACAGAATTAACATCAGAATCACTCCTGAGGCATTCTCCAAAAGGAACACTTTTAGTAGAGATGAGAACATTTCTCGACCTATTTTCACAGCACAGAATAAGCTCTGTTCTTTACCAAGAAATCTCAAAAAGCCAAAGATGGCTTTAAAAATTCAAACTATAAGGTCTTCTGATGTCTACTTCAGTAAAAATAATGAAAGAAGCCATGAAATTTTCTTAAAGCAAAAGAAACTCTAGTATTCAAACATTTCTGATTCAAAGATAGCTTTTGGAGGAAATATAAAGACTAATAAAATAAAGTCCAGAAGAACTTAACTATAACTTGAAATAAACTTTTATTCAAAACCTCACATTTTAATGTTGTTTTCAATTTTAGTTCATATCAAAACATACTATAAGATATATTTTCTCCTAAAGGTGATTAAGATAACCATCCTCTTGTACACGGCTTCATGTAAGATACACGTTATCAAAATGAAATCAGTTTGGGTAAGGTAACAGTTAATACAAGATTAGACTTATGCTTTATTAATTCTGGCCACCAAATCTCGACAACAATCCACAAAACCCAGATATCTGCAAACAAGTATGTCTGGATTTTTGTTTAAATCAAGAAATGATAGGTTAAGTTGAGAATTGATTAACTGTCTCTATACAATACATATAAAGTACACTATACTACTCAGATTATATAACCATATTACTCCCATAAATGTTAAACATGAATATTCTAAATTAATGTTAAGTACCAACATGACAAAAAATAACAAAACTATAAAACTGTTGAAATAAAGTAGTAGGGGTGCTAATTTACATAGGGTTATTTAAAATGCCTTTTTGGAGAAAGAAATATCTATTCTGAAACCTACAATATTAAAAATACTTTTGCGTGTGAAGTAGATAATTGGCAGGAAGGTGGCCAGGAGCAGGTGCTTTTTGCAAGCAGTCTCCATTATTGGAGATGGCATGCATAAAGGTAGTGGAGCAGAAACGACTATCACCTGATCTAAGAAAAGAATAAAGCTAGAAGTTACTGAAGCTCAATGGTGGCCAGAAGGATGTGAAATGAGGTTAAAGAGAAAAGTAGGATCCGTATTGAAGTCCAACATGCCTCGGTAAGAAATCTGAATGCTAGCTTAAGTCACTGGAAGCCACTGGTTTTAAGCTGGGAAGTGAAATAATCCAGTTTATGTTTGGACTGACCACTTTTGCTGCTTGCTGCTTTTGGGGAATAGATTGGAGTGGTAAGTGCAAGTCCCAAACAATCAGTTAGGAGACTGTTGCAGCAATTAAAGTAGAGTTGATAGTGAATGTGGCTAGAGGAAGGTCATTGGAGATGGGGATGTGGGGACAAATTTAAAATATATTTTGGAAGCTAATTAAACAAGATAATTGGTAGAATGTGGAAGTGAAGGAGAAGAAGAAATAAAGAGGGGGGAGGGATAGCATTAGGAGATATACCTAATGTAAATGATGAGTTAATGGGTGCAGCACACCAACATGGCACATGTATACATATGTAACAAACCTGCACGTTGTGCACATGTACCCTAAAACTTAAAGTATAGTTAAAAAAAAAAGAGAGACTCCTTACCCACAGCTTAAAACATTAAGTAATTAATGGGTGCCATTTACTAAGAAATAAGCTTATTTGGGAAGAAGGATTACATGTTCAGGGGACCCATAATGTAAGGGTAAGATAAGGTTTTCTGGAGAAATTTACTAGTAGAGTAGAAGCACACTTCATGGGTCCCTGTCTTCTCACTATCCTCTAAGTTGCATGCTTGGATCAGGTATAGCTTGCTTCACTAAACAGCATTTTCCAACAAAGGGGCCCTCTTACCCATTGTTTTACATATTCGTAGGTAATTGATGTTGAAGAAACATTTTCTTGACCACTGAATAATGTAAGTTCGCTGATAAAGAAAAAGGCTTCATAATGGGTACCTCTGGAACTCAGTTGTCTGGACTTCCTTTGTGATAGCTCAGATATGCTGAACAAAACTTGCTAAACTCCTAAAACAGGAGAGAAAATGAGTCTCCAGAGCTCTCTGAATTTGGCTGTCCTCAGAAAGAGAAAAGTCAAAAGATTGGGATGTTTGTAGGCTATGCAACAGTGAAAAGCAAGCAGGAAATTTGAAATGGTAAGGGAACAGCTGGATTTAAAATATACATTTGAATATATATTTCAGGTAAGAACCATAGTATTGATAGTCACAAACAGGGAGATGGGAGAGGACAAAAGACTGCAAATACCTATAATTAAAGGGAGGTTAGAAGGGGAATATCTGAGAAAGGAGAGTAAGAATAATTGATTAAAGAAACAGGGAAAAAAAAAAAACTCTCAGTGTATTTTCACCTTAAGCTAAAAGCTGTTGGCGGGGAGATAGACAGGGCTTCAAAATGGAAGGTATGGTCAGCTGTGTAGACTGCTATGAGTGTTTATAAGACAAACACAGAATCTGCAGACAGCTGCTGAGAATCAGAAGGGTTACTAAGTGATGTACTAAGATTCACTTAGACATTAGAAAAAAATAAATTTCTAAAATATTTTCTAATAAAAATAAACAAGCATATGTAAAAGATGTAAAATGTTTGTTAGTCAAGTGTAAAGTTATAAAATAAACTGAACATTTTCCCTAAGCTGACTTTTTGCTTCATATCTTATTATCAATTTTGACTATGTTTGTTCTAAGTCTGAGAGTAGAGCCTAGAGTCATACTTCTGGTGTGTCAGGCATTCCAGAAGCCATCATGGTACTGATTGATATTTCATAAATTACACTTATTAGAGTATTTTTAAAGGACAAAAGACTTACATGATGCATCTGTGGGGCCTGGGTCCACAACATATGCTGTACTTCCAATGCATTTATATCAGTCCAGACATGAAACTTCATTGAAACTTGTATGTGAGATTAAATTTGCCAAGTTGGCTATCAGTCAGTGTCAGAAAACACAATGATGCATGAGGCGTAGAAATACAAGCAAAAAAAAAAAAATTAGCCTGCATGATTAAAAATGTCAATTAAAAAAATCTCATTTAAAATTGTTATTTTAATAGCTTGTGTGCTTCACTGTGTTCAGCAGAAAGACCCAGTAAATTTCAAGTAAGCTCTTCAAATACTAAGATGTCGAAAGTTAAATCTAAATATACAGTCATTTTTTTGAACTCACTTTAGTCAATATAGGAAAGTTGTTTATAACTACAACTCTCTAGTGGTATTTGTTTCTAGTAACTGATGAAATGAAAATAGATTCATATTTCTACCTCAAAAGATGTGTCTAAGTGTGAAAGTTTATCTAAACATATACTTGCTGAATTTAAATCCATTCTTAGTTTTTCAATAAAATAGACATATGTGACATTAAATTAGTCTCTACTTTTTAAACTTATGAAATGAGCTTTTTTAATCTGTCTTCTGGGTCATTTACTAATTTTATGTTATTTTGTGCTTTTAAATCACTTAGATACCCAGAATTTGTATTCATGTTATCCCTTTAATGTAAGTTATATTGCAGACAATATGCTTCATACAAAAATTCTAGTTTTATAATTCCTCCTTCTTAAAAATCTAGACGACCATTTTCTTTTTAAGTTTTTAGAAGTAATACAAAACTTACACTGTTTAATTTGTTCTCTCTTCTACCTATTAATTCACAGTAATATTCTAATAACTTTCACTCAGTTTTGCCTCAATGTCCACATCAGTAAAATAAGAGTATTCAAATGAAACTTTTTATGGGCAACCTATATCCATTAAAACATTCCAGTTAAAAATACAGTGGTAGCAAATGGAGTAGGAGAGTGAGGTGTAGAAGGAAGTGAAGGAGGAGGAGCAGACAAAGGTGAAGGAGGAGCAGAAGAAGGTGAAGGAGGAGAAGAAGAAGGAGAGGAAGAAAGAGAAGGATAAGAGGATAAGGAGAAGAAGAAGAAAGAGGTGGAGGAGGGAGAGGAATAGGAGGAGGAAGAGGGGCAGGAGGAGGAGGAGGATAGGAAGAAACCTAGATCACAGGGGAACCCAATAAGGGCTTGCAAGTCTGAATAGATTTGCAATGATATTTAAGTCCATAGGATCTAAATTTTCCTAGAGAAAAATGGAGGCGGAGCATCTTTTTGGAAACAAATTACCTGCTATAAATTTGCTTTATCCTATTAAAGTTTCATGGAACTTTCAAAAGAAATAGAGTAATTTTCTGATAACTATAGATAGACTTCAACAACTTTATGAAGTGTTTAGTTTGAGTTCATTTCAGTCTCAGAAGGCACTTTAAATTTAATCTCACTTAATTTGCTTGGACATCTTTAATCAAACCACTCATGTGGACCATCAGTGATAGTTTTCACCCAGTTTTACACCTGAGCTGACTGAGGCAAGAGAATTAAATAATGTGTGCAACTCACAAGGTGAGTTAATGATGCAGTTGAAGGTAGAAAATGGCACTTTTGTCTTCCTTTTAGCCATTATTTCCCAACACTTAAACAACTTTGTTTTATCATTGGAGGGAGAATTACACATTTAGAAACCAGATATGTTAATGAGCAATCAGTAGGCTGCTGTTAAATGATTTTTTAAAATATCTTCAGAATAGAATAGGGCAAAAAGAAAAATCACATCCTTTCTGCAAGAGTTCAACATAGAAAAATAATCCCTAATGTTTATTCTTTATTTTCTTATCACTCCCACTCCACCATTCATTACAATTATTCCTACAGGAGGCTTCATAAAGTCCTATTACTCTTATGTCCACTTTTATGTGAATTTCCTACCTTTCTCTTGTGTTTGGTTTATCTAGCCTAATTCATTTATTCATTAGTTTAGTCGTTTATCTGTGATGGTGCCTTATTAGGTATTGGTTTACAAAGATAAACAAAACAGATCTCTTCCTTTAAAATGATCATAGTCTGAAAGGGAAGGACAGAAGCAACTAAACAATATAGTGTCAATAAATATTTCTAAAGTACAAAATAGGGAGAGTGTGACATAGGGAGTCCAAAAAAGATCTTAGAAAATATGATTATTAAGTCCATGCAGATAGACATTGGGTTCACTTAACAATTATTTAAAATGATGACTAACAGCATTTAACAAACCAGATACAACTGTAAGAGTCATAATATTAACTTCATGGTTTATCAGCACCAAATAGGCTCTACTCTCTGACCCAAAGCAATTGATAGAGCATGCGTTACTACTTGGTTCTTAAAGTAAATACAAGTGAGCCTACTAATACATCAACCCTGATTGATTTTAATTTTCCCCACTGTATTAGTACATTCTTGCACTGCTATAAAGAAATACCTGAGACTGGGTAATTTATTTTAAAAAATAGAGGTTTAATTAGCTCACAGTTTTGCAGGCTGCATAGGAAGCACGGTGACATCAGCTTACAGGGAGGCCTCAGGGAACTTATAATCATAGTGGAAGGCAAAGCAGGAGCAGGCATGTCTTACCTGGCCAGAGTAGGAGGAAGAGAGAGGAGAGAGGTTCCACATACTCTTAAAAAGCCAGATCTCCTGAGAACTCTGTCATGAGAATGGCACCAAGGCGATGGTGCTAAACCATTTATAAAGGATCTACCCCCATGATCAAATCATCTTCCAGCAGGCCCCACTTCCAACATTGGGGATGACATTTCAACATGAGATTTGGTTGGGGACACAAATTCAAACCATATCATTCCTCCCCTGCCCCCTCCAAAATCTCATGTTCTTATCATACTTAAAAATAAAATCATGACTTCTCAAGAGTCCCCCAAATTCTTAAATTATTCTAGCATTAACTCAAAAGTCCAAATCTCATCTGATAAAAGGCTAGTCCCTTCTGCCTGTGAGCCTGTAAAATCAAAAACAGTCTATTTACTTCCAACAGACAATGGGGCTATAGGCATTAGGTAAATACTCCCATTCCAAAAGGGAGAAATTGGCCAAAAATAGGGGCTAAGGGCCCCATGCAAGTCCAAAACCCAGCAGTGCAGTCATTAAATCTTAAAGCTCCAAAAAATTACCTCCTTTGACTCCATTTCTCACATCCAGGGCATATTGGTGCAAAAGGTAGGCTCCCAAGGCCTTGGGCAGCTCCACCCCTGTGGCTTTGCAGGGTTCAGGCTCCAGAGTTGCTCTCAAGGTCTGGTGTTGTGTGTCTGTGGCTCTTCTAGACTGAGGGTGCAAGTTATTGGTGGATCTACCAATCTGGGGTCTGGAGGATGATGGTACTGATCTGAAGCTCCACTAGATAGTGCCCCAGTGGGGACTCTGTGTGGGGGTTCTAACCTCACATTTTCTCTCTGCACTGTAGTAAAGGATCTCCATGAAAAGCAGCAAGTTTCTGTCTGGGCATCCAGGCTATTCCATGCATCCTCTGAAACCTAGGTGGAGGTTTTCAAGCCTCAACTCTTTCATTCTGTGCACCAGCAGGCGTAACACCAGATGAAAGCCACCAAGGCTTATGGTTTACACCCTCTGAAGCAGTAGCCTAAGCTGTACTTGGGTTCCTTTGAGTCACAAGTGGAGCTGGAGTGACTGGGATGTGGGAAGCAGTGTCTCAAGGGATGGCAGCTGGGCCCTGGGTCTGGCCCAGGAAACCGTTTAATTTTCCTAGACTTCTGGGCCTGTGATGGGAGGGGTTACAGGGAAGGTCTTTAAAATGTCTTTGAGGCTTTCTCCCTATTGTCTTGGATATTAGCATTTATCTTCCTTTTAGTTATGCAATTTATGCAGCCTGTTTGGATTCCTCCCCAGAAAATGGGCTTTTCTTTTCTACCACATGGTCAGGCTTCTAATTTCCCAAACTTGGCCGGGCGCAGTGGCTCATGCCTGTGATCCCAACACTTTAGAAGGCCGAGGCGGATGGATCACAAGGTCAGGAGATCGAGACCATCCTGGCTAACATGATGAAACCCCGTCTGTACTAAAAATACAAAAAATTAGCCAGGCGTGGTGATGGGCGCCTGTGGTCCCAGCTACTTGGGAGGCCGAGGCAGAATGGTGTGAACCTGGGAGGCGGAGCTTGCAGTGAGCCAAGATCGTGCTACTGCACTCCAGCCTGGGCGAAAGAACGAGACTCTGTCTCAAAAAAAAAAAAAAAAGTTCCCTAACTTTTATGCTCTGTTTCCCATTTTAATAAAAGTTCCAGTTTAAGTTATTTCTTTGCTCACTTATATAAGCATAGGTTGTTAGAAGCAGTCAGATTACATTTTGAATGCTTTGCCGCTTAGAAATTTCTTCTGCAAGATACCCTAAATCATCATTCTCAAGTTCAAAATTCCACAGATTTCTAGGGCAAGGGCAAAATGCAGCCAACTTCATTCTCAAGTTCAAAGTTCCATAGATCTTAGGACAGGGGCAAAATATAGCCAACTCCTTTGTTAACACATAATAAAAGTGACCTTTACTCCAGTTCCCAAGAAGTTCCTCATTTTTATCTGAGACCTCATCAGCCTCGACTTCATTGTCTATATGCCTATCATCATTTGAGGCATAACCATTTAACAAGTGTTTAGGAAGTTCCAAACTTTTCTTCCTCTTCCTATCTTCTTTTAAGCCCTCCAAACTGTTTCAACATGTGCCTGTGACCCAGTTCCAAAGTAACTTCCTAATTTTCATGTATCTTTAGAGCATTGCCTCACTCCTTAGTACCAATTTTCTGTATTAGTTCATTCTTGCACTGCTGTAAAGCAATACAAGAGACTGGGTAATTTACAAAGAAAATAGGTCTAATTGGCTCATGGTTCTGCAGGCTGTACAGGAAGCATGCTGATAACAGCTTTTGGGGAGTCCTCATGGAACTTACAATCATGGCAGAAGGCAAAGGCGGAACAAGCGTGTCTTACATTGCTGGAGCAGGAGGAAGGGGGTTGTGCCACACACCTTTAAATAAACAGATCTCATGAGAACAGCACCACAGGGATAGTGCTAAACCATTTATGAAGGATCTAACTCCATGATCACACCACCTCCCATCAGGCCTCACCTCCAACATTGGGGGTTACAATTTCACATGAGATTTGGGCAGGAACAGAGATTCAAACCATATCACCCATTTTTACTGGGCTCTGGAATTATAAACAAAAGGCAATGGCATTCCATTATTTGGGTGTGCATTTGGGGAATACTGTAAAAGGAAATCAAGCAAAAAGAAGCTTAAGCATAAGCCTTTATTCAAAACATCTCAGTCATTTCTTGGGAAAGAAGGGGAGAAATTTCATAGAACTTTAACAGGAATCAGCCCACGTTCTGACAGTTTCAAAACTATTTCATCAAAAATACTTCTTGGAATGCTAAGAATTTTTTGTGTGATTTGGCAGTTACTGGTAGGGCAATTGAGATTTATTAAGAATGATGAGGCAGAAGAGTTCAGGATGAAGGTCATGAACAAGAAGGAGCATGGATAACAAGTTTTGAAGGCTTACAACTCTCCTGGAAGTTAGACTAGGTCAGTGCTTTTTCCTCCCTCCAGCAAGGAGTCCTTCCACTGGACCATGCTCTAGGGTGCTTCCAGTTGAATCCCAGCCCAGAAAATGTGATCCTATACCTCCTGGCCCTTCTATTTCTGAGTTCAAGCCTCCTGCAACCAACACTTACTGGTGATTACCTCAAGCCCCAAACCATCCATTAGGCTTAATTGTGAAAAAAAAAATGATCTGCAACACGGAAGGATGTGTCACTCACAGGGAGAATGAATAAAATTATTTGGAACATGTTGAAAATTTCTAATTATGGCCAATTATAAATATATTCTGTTAAAGGAAAATATCCTTTAAGCATATGTGAATCATTCTTGAGTTGAACTATTATAAATAAGCTAATTTTAAAAAATTATCATGGCTACAAATCAAGTAAGCTTTGATGCAGCAAGCCCACATAGGGGTACCCTCATATGCTGAACAAAGATTAGGTAAACTACTCTGCTCCACATACCATGCAACATCATGGTATTCCTTTTGTAAAGAACCAAGAAACAATTCTAGAGATTTAATGATGTATTATTGAGCAAATAAATCATACTGTGCTGGTTCAGGTTAGAGAAATAATTCAAAAATTTAACTATCAAATAAAACTACTTCTGGACATAGCTAAGAAAAAAAACTTTATTCAAAGGATTATTGCAGCACAGGGAAGGAACTATTTGCAATAGCTGGAGGGAGACTATTGCAAAAGGGAGAAATCTTTAATCATAAGAACTGTAAGTATATCAAAAGTCAGGCAGAAAAGAACTCTTATGGAATAAATAAGTCTAGAAAAAAATAAGTGTGGAGTGGGTGGTGTGATTAGACAGTTGATCATTTAATTATTTGGCCTGAGGTCAGCCTATTCTCAGAAGAAAATGAGGAGTGGCTGTGTGCTAGCTCAGGGTGAGCAGGGGCCAAATCTCAGGGGCCTGGGAGAAGAGAAGCTTATTTAAAATTTGGTTTTTGGTGTGATTACTTTTGGCATCTTTGTCATAAAATCTTTACCAGTTCCTATGACCAGAATATTAGTGCATAGGTTATCTTCCAGGCTTTCTATAGCTCTGGGTTTTACATTTTAAACCATCTTTCATCCATCTTGAGCTGATTTTTGTATATCGTGTAAGGAAGGGGTCCAATTTCAATCTGCATATGGCTAGTCAGTTATCTCAGCACAATTTACTAAATACAGAATCCTTTCCCTGTTGCTTTTTTGTCAGCTTTGTTGAAGATCAGATGGTCATAGGTCTGTGGCCTTATTTCTGGGCTCTCAATTCTGTTCCTTTGTTCTATGTGTTTGTTTTTGTACTAGCATTATGCTGTTTTGGTTACTATAGCCCTGTAATATAGTTTGAAGTTGGGTAACATGATGTCTTCAGCTTTGTTCTTTTTGCTTAGGATTGCCCTGGCTATTTGGGCTCGCTTTTGGTTCCATATGAATTTTAAAATTTTCTTTTTTCCAGTTCTGTGAAGAATGTCATTGGTGATTTGATAGGAATAGTATTTAATCTGAAAATTACTTTGGGTAGTACAGCCATTTTAATGATATTGATTCTTCCATTTGTTTGTGTCATCTGATTTCTTTGAGAAGTGTTTAGTAATCCTTGGTGTAGAGATCTTTCACCTCTCTGATATGCTGTATTCCTAGGTGTATTGCCTACTCATAGGTATTTCATTCTTTTACGTGTGGCAATTGTGAATGCAATTGCCTTCCTGATTTGGCTCTTGGCTTGGCTGTTGTTGGTATATAGGAATGCTAGTGATTTTTGTATGTTTATTTTATACCCTGAAACTGCTGAAGTTTATCAGCTGAAGGAGTTTTGGGATGACACTCTATAGAGTTCTAGATATAGAATCATGTCATCTACAAACAGGGATAGTTTGACTTCCTCTCTTCCTATTTGGGACCTTAATTTCTTTCTCTTGGCTAAACTTCAATACTATGTTGAATAGGAGTGGTGAGAGAGGGTATTCTTGTCTTGTTTGGGTTTTCAAGGATAATGTTTCCAGATTTTTCCTGATCAATATGATATTGGCATTGGGTTTGTCATAGAGGGCTTTTATTATTTTGAGTTACATTCCTTCAATACCTAGTTTATTGGGTTTTTAACATGAAGGGATGTTGAATTTTATCAGAAGCCTTTCTGTATATATTGAGATGATCATATGGTTTTTGTCTTTAGTTCTATTTATGTAGTGAGCCATATAACCTAGCTGGTTGGGTAAACAGATAGTAACCTACTCTTATGCCAATCACTGAGTTTCAGCCAATCAAAGATGGCCAACCATTCAAACCCTGTTCAAATAAGGCAAGTTCCCAACTGTAACCAACCCAGCTGTTTCTGTACCTCATTTCCATTTTTCTGTATGTCACTTTCCTTTTTCTGACCATAAATCTTCTTTGACCATGTATTATTGCTAGAGAATCTGCAAACCTATTCTGGTTTGGGGGCTGCCCAATTTGCCTATCATTCTTTACTCAACTAAACTCTGTTTAATTTAATTTGTCTAAGGTTTTTCTTTTAACAGAGGTATTTGGTTAGTGGAGAGAAACAATTCAGCTAATTATTTTTGAGGCATAGCATGGGAATTTGGAGGGTCCACGTTTGTGTCTGGATTTGCCATAGATAAACCAAGTGGTTATCCAGAAGTCTTATGTAAGCATGTGGGGAAGGCTGCTTCTTTGCTGTCTTTTCTTGAAACAAAAAAGAGGGGGTGGGTTTCTTATCACTGTCCTTCCTTGTTTTCTGGGATCCTAGGGCTCAGGTAAAATTCAACATTTTCACAAGTTACTGAAATTTTTCTCTTTATTGAAAGCAATACTCTGTCTTTCTCAAATATCTTTTTATGAATAGATTTGTGGCCGTTCCCTGCAGCAGAATATAAAGAGCCACCCGAAAATTTCATTATGATACTTTCTGTACTAGAAAAAGTGGATTCACTAATCTGTGTTCCACTATCTGACTGTCTGACAAAGAAGCTTGGATATTTTTTCAAGTATATTCAGCTCTAACGGAGAAAGAATCTTCTTTTCTTCTTTCAGATCAGTATTGATTTTTCGCTATCTTAAAGACCCATATGAACATGCCCAGAGGCAAGAATTCGATTTTCTATTCATCTACTGGGTGTTTGCAGGAGGTAGAACTCTGTGTTTATCTCACACAATTGTCGTGTCTCAGCACATGTGGCAGCCTGATATTCAAAGAAACAATGGTTAGTGATAATGAAACACTAGTGAACCCATATTTTTGCAATGAAGTAAAGTTTATAAGTCATTTGTAATCAGCAATTCTAACGTACTTTGAATATGAAGTTCATGAATAACCCATAGGTTCATTGGGAAACTGTATTATGGGGCAATCATGTTACAATTTCTGTTAGTAAAACTACTCTGTAATCAATTCCATAGATGTGAGGACTGCAAAACAAATGATCTAAAACCACTTTATAAATGTACAAAAATGAATTAACTGAAATGTATTCTTTTAACTTGAAGTGACTCATGCAAATGTGAAAATGAACACACACTATTAAATGAGAACACAGGCTATTTATTCAGAATTTGCTATATCAAGACAATTAGCCACCATAATTCGCATTTGACAGAGTTTTAAAGGCTGACAGAGTTTTAAATACAGACAGAGCAGTGGAAAAGCTTCATAATGGAAAATGAAAAATGCAAAAGCTTCACGTATTCTCCGAAGGGATGTTGTAAGCATGGGGAAGCTGCAAGTGGGTTAACTAAAAATAGAGCATATTGTATGATTGGTTTAGGAGAGATATTTACTTTCTTTGGTCCTGAGTTAGAATCAGGGCTAATAATAATGATGAAGAAGAAAAAGAAGAAGAAGAAGAAAGAAGAAGAAGGAGAAGGAGAAGGGGAAGGAGAAGAAAGGGGAGGAGGAAGAGGAGGAGGAGGAGGAGAGGATGAAGTGACGGAGGAACCTGGTAGTTACTGGTCAAGCCCTAATTGTTCTGGGCCAATTGCTGCAGAGTTTTGGTTTGGCTTCCTGGGCTGGCTACTGCCAAATTCTGTTGTCATATATGGTCTGTCCATTGTTTGTTTGCATATTTAGGCTCACATAAAATTATACAGTTTATAGTAATAATTTAATGATTTTCCATTGAGACATTGCATTTCATGATAGAAAATTCTCAAGCTTATACATTGAAACAAACTGATAGAAGATAATGTGGCATTAGTTTAATTACTCCTAAGGAGTACCTGCTCTAGAGAAAAGTATGTTAACTCATCAGGATCTGTAGATTAACACTACTGTGCTAAGTTCTAAAAGAACTCAGTTAATGTTTCCATTCTCTAATATTGAATAACACATATTTAGTCCATTATAAGAAACCAGTTGTCTTTCAGTTTAAAAGACTAGCGTTTCTGCAGGCTAAAAGTATGGTCTAATATAAAACTGATACTTTCAAAAGACATTTTTTTAGCCTAGAGTAGAAATAATTCTCAAAAGCCCTAAAGATCTAATCTTGAGTATATTTTGCAACATCATTTAATGCTCCCCAGAAATAAGAAATACAAAACAGCAAAGGCATAGAAAGCAAAGGCAATAGAGAAGCAACAAAGAAAAACACAAGCAACAATGAATGAAACAATAAAGTTAAAGGCGGAATACAAGTTGAAATTAAGAACAGAGCCACTAAAGAAAACAAAGGTCAACAAATCTCTGGCAAGACTTATAATGAGAAAAAAGAAAGAAGATACAAATGAACAATATAAAAAGTGAAAATGTGAAAAATAGAAACAAGCATTTAACAAATAAAATAAAAATAGCAACAACTGCATAAACATACAGAAGAGCTAATTAACAAAAAAATAGAGAATACCAAAACTGGCACGCGAATGAATTGAAATGAGAAAAAAAATAAATATTGAAAGAATTTAAATGGTAATCTTAATGTACCCAGATTAAGATGCTGTTATGGTCAAGTAAACAATCCTTCTTACATGAGTTTATATGAAGGAAAAAAAAGAACAAAAAAAAAGAGTGAGGAATATCTGTCCATCTAAGATAATCTGGCCGGCATAACTTTGATAAAAATAGTGTATAAAATAAGACCCAAACAACAAATATACAAAGAAGAGAACATTTTAAATATAACTTTAGCTAATTCTGTGTATCTGTAATTATACAGCCTGATCAGTGACATAATGCAATTTATGTGAATTAAATTATCATACATAACTCCATATCTAATATTTTAAGGATACATACATTTTCCTGGATATTTCTGTATATTAAACACATTAGCCAGGGTGCCATTTGAGGGAAAGTGAGTGGCATTTGTGATACAGTTAAAAGAAAATATAATAAAACCAAATAAATTAGTTTTTAATGAACAGAAATCTTAGTTCTTAACAGGTTGATGGGGGAGACATTTTGATGTAACTAAAGCCCTGTGGCCCCCTCTTAAGAAATTACTGGGTGAAGCTTTCCTACAGTACTAGATGACATACCAGTCCTGAGTATTGTGGGTGTCATAAAAGGATTGAAAGTGTATTATAAAAACTAAAAATGCCATTGGTAGGAGACACAAAAAGGTAAGAAACTAACATATTTGACATTTTGGAATTTTATACTTCTACTTTTACATGTTATTTTTCTGCCAAGTAATTTTTTTTTTAACAGAGTCTCAGTCTGTCACCAGGCTGGAGTGCAGTGGCACAATCTCTGCTCACTGCAACCTCCATCTCCCAGGTTCAAGTTATTCTCCTGCCTCAGCCTCCCGAGTAGCTGCGACTACAGGTGCATGCCACAACGCCCAGCTAATTTTTTTTTTTTTTGTATTTTTAGTAGAGGTGCGGTTTCACCGTGTTGGCCAAGATGGTCTCGATCTCTTGACCTCGTAATCCACCCACCTCAGCCTCCCAAAGTGCTGGGATTACAGGCGTGAGCCACTGCGCCTGGCCTCTGCCTAGCAATTTTTAATTTGATTCCAAATGTTTGGAAACCAGAAATTAGGAAGACCTACAGGGGGAAAAAAAAGAAAACCAAAACAAAACAAATAGTCTTTTAGAAAGACTTTACAAAGCAATTGGATAAAGACAATAACACTCAGCATTAAATTTGTGAAAATGTCATTACTATTATTTTAGCATTATAAATACATTATCTTGTATAATTTCAACATTCTTCCATTTTCTGAGTTTGTTCTTAGTGCCAAGTGCAACATTATGCTGGGAATATAAGGAAAATGAGGCCTGACTTCTGATTTCAGAGAGCTCACTTTCTAACTAGTGTTTACC
Source organism: Homo sapiens (assembly GCF_000001405.40). NCBI lineage: Eukaryota > Metazoa > Chordata > Mammalia > Primates > Hominidae > Homo > Homo sapiens. The sequence goes on from NC_000007.14 coordinate 118,800,988, forward strand.
ACATTTCCTCAAGTACCCATGTGGACCAAATACATTATTTTATTTTAGTGCCTCACATTTAAGTAAAATGTTCTTTTATTTTATTATTTGTATTTTACAATATTAGAATCTAATAATCTAATTATTTTTATGTGTAAATAATTTTCTATTATCACTTCATAATGGGATAGTTAACCAAAAAATAAAAATACATTTTTTTTTACTTCTTATAAAGTTTTAAATCTTTTTATAAAATTCTAAATTTTAGATTCAGGAGATACATGTGCAGGTTTGTTATATGAATGTATTTCATAATTGTGGGGTTTGGGCTCCTAGTGTACCCCTCACCCAAATAGTGACTACTGTACCCAATAGGCAATTTTTAAACCCTCACCACCCTCCCAAGCTGCCCCCTTTTAGAGTCCCCATATCTATTGTTTCCATCTTTATGTCCATGTGAACTCATTGTTTAGCCCCCACTTATAAGTTAAGGACCTGCAGTATTTGATTTTTTGTTTGAGTTAGTTTACTTAGGATAATGGCCTCCAGCTTCATCTATGTTGCTACGAGGGACATGATTTTGCTCTTTTTTATGGCTGTATAGTATTCTGTAGCATACACATACCACATTTTCTTTATCCCATCAACTGTTGATGGACACTTAAGTTGATGCCATGACTTTGCTATTGTGAATAGTGCTGTGATCAACATATTAATGCAGATGTCTTCATTATATAATTATTTATTTTCTTTTGGGTAGATGGTAGCCGGATTATTGGGTCAAATGGTAGTTCTATTTTTAGTTATTTGAGAAATCTTCACATTGTTTTCCATAGAGGTTGTACTAATTCACATTCCCACCAACAATGTATAAGTGTACCCTGTTCTCCACATCCATGCCAACATCTGTTATTTTCTGACTTTTTAATAATTACCACTCTTAGAGGTATAAGATGATATCTCATTGTGGTTTTAATTTTCATTTCTCTGATGATTAGCAATGTTGAAGATTTTTTCATGTATTTTTTGGCTGCTTGTATGTCATCTTTTGAGAAATATCTGTTCATGTCCTTTGCCCACTTTTCAATGGGTTTAATTTTTTTGTTGTTGTTGGATTCTTTCAATTCCTTGTAGATTCTGGATATTAGTCCTCTGCTGGAGGCATAATTTGCAAATATGTTCTCTTATTCTTTATGTTGTCTGTTTACTCTGTTGATTATTTCTTTTGTTGTGCAGAAGCTTTTTAGTTCAAGTCCCATTTGTATACTTTGCTTTTGCTTTGTTTGTTTTAGGGGGTCTAAGTCGTAAATTCTTTTTGTAGGCCAGTGCACAGAAGAGGTTTTCCTAGTTTTTTTTTTTTTTTTCTAGGACTTTTATACTTTCAGGTCTTACATTTATGTCTTTAATTCATCTTGAGTTAATTTTTGTATAAGAGGTTGGGTGTGGTAGGTAGCTCACACCTAAAGTCCCAACTCTTTGGAAGACCAAGGTGGGAGGATTGCTTGAGTCCAGGAGTTTGAGACCAGCTTGGGCAACAAAGTGAGAACCCGTCTCTAAAACAATAAAAAATTTCGCTTGGCGGTGATGTGCACCTGTAATCCCTGCTACACAGAATGCTCAGGCAGGAGAATCCCTTGAGTCCAGTGGGTCAAGGCTGTAGTGAGCCATGTTCATACCATTGCACTGCAGCCTAGGTGACACAACAAGACCTTGGCTCAAAAATAAATAAATAAATAAAAAATATTAAAAAAATAAAAATTTTACCAGGCACGGTGACTCACACCAGTAATCCCAGCACTTTGGGATTATAAGGCCAGAGGATCACTTGAGGCCAGGAGTTCAAGACAAGCTTGGGAAACATGGTTAAACCTTGTCTCTACTAAAAAATGCAAAAAAAAAAAAAAAATAGCCAGAAGTGATGGCCCATGCCTATAATTCCAACTACTTGGGAAGCTGAGGAATGAGAATCACTTGAGCCCAGAAGGCGGAGGTTGCAGTGAGCTGAGATTGCACCACTTTACTCCAGCCTGAGTGACAAAGTGAAACTCTGTCTCAAATAAAAAAATCTAGAAAATTGTATATGATGAGAGATAGGTGTCCAGTTTTTTTTTTTTTCTACCTGTGGCTAGCCAATTTTCCCAGCACCATTTATTAAATAGGGTATCCTCCCATTTTTAAAAAATTTGTTGAGTAACATTTGGTTATAGATGTATGGCTTTATTTCTGGGTTATCTAATCTATTCCATTCATCTATGAGGTATTTTTGTTTCAGTAAAATGCTGTTTTACTTACCGTAGCCTTGTAGTATAATTTGAAGTCAATAATGTGATGCCTCTGGCTTTGTCTTTTTTACTTAGCATTGCTTTGGCTATTTGGGCTCTTTGTTCATTCTTCATAAGAATGTTAGAATTATATCTTGCTAATTCTGTGAAAAATGTTAGTAGTTTGATAAAAATTGTGTTGAATCTGTAGATTGCTTTGGGCAGTATGGTCATTTTAGTGACATTGATCCTTCTAATACATGAGCATGGGATGTTTTTCCATTTGTTTGTGTCATCTATGATTTCTTTCATCAGTGTTTTGTAGTTCTCCTTGTGGAGCTCTTTCATTTCTTGGTTAAACGTATTTTTAGCCTTTGTGTGTGTGTTTGTGTTTGTGTGTGTGTGGCTATTGTAAATGAGATTGAGTAATTGATTTGGTTCTCAACTTGAATGTTATTTTATGTAGAAATGCTGCTGATTTGTGTACATTGATTTTGTATCCTGAAACTATTAAAGTCATTTATCAAATCTAGGAGTCATTTTTTGGAGGAGTCTGTTGGATTTTCTAGGTATAAGATTATGTCAGGCCGGGTGTGGTGGCTGATGCCTGTAAACCCAGCACTTTGACAGGCCAATGCAGGTGGATCACCGGAGATCAGGAGTTCAAGACCAGCCTGACCAACATGGACAAATCCCGTCTCTACTAAAAAATACAAAATTAGCTGGGCATGATGGTCCATGCCTGTAATCCCAGCTACTCAGTAGGCTGAAGCAGGAGAATCGCTTGAACCTGGAGCCGGGAGGTTGCAGTGAGCCAAGATCATGGCATTGCACTCCAGCCTGGGCAACAAGAGCAAAACTCCATCTCAAAAAAAAAAAAAAAAAAAAAAAAAAAATCATGTCGTCAGTGAACAGAGATAGTTTGATGGCTCTCTCTTTTCCAGTTTGGATGGCTTTTATTTCTTTCTCTTACCTGATTGCTCTGGCTAAGACTTCCAGAAATATGTTGGATAAGAATGATAAGAGTGGCCATCCTTGATATATTCCAATTCTCAGAGGAATGCTTTCAACATTTCTTCATTCAGTATGATATTGGAAGTGGGTTTGTCATATATGGCTCCTATTATTTTGAGGTATGTTCTTTGATGGCTAGTTTATGAAGGGTTTTATCATGAAGGGATGTTAGATTTTGATTATTTTTCTGCATCTAGTGAGATGATCATATGGTTTTTGTTTTAGTTCTGCTTATACAGTGAATCACATTTATTGACTTGCAAATGTTGAACCATTCTTGTATCCCTGGAATAAAACCCATTTGATTATAATGAATTATCTTCCTGATGTGCTGTTGGATTTGGTTTGCTAGAAATTTGTTGAGGATTTTTGCATCTATTTTCATTAGGGATATTGACCTGTACTTTTCTTTTTTTATTGTTGTATCCTGATGAGATTTTGATATCAAGATGATGCTGGTTTAGTAGAAGGAATTAGGCAGGAATCCCACTTCCTTGATTATTTGGGATAGTTTTCATAAGATTGTTACCAGCTCTTCTTTTTACACCTGGTAGAATTTGGTTGTGAATACAATAAAAATACATTTTAAGGTCACCTATTTCTTAGATTTTATTTTGCAGGATGTCAGCTTACCATTTGTTTTATTTTAAGAAAAGAAACAGGGAGAAATCTATAACCAAAGTGATTTCAGACAATGCAGGGCACAATGTCAAGGCAAATTAGTGAAACAATCTAAATGATAAATGATTTGTGATAAATGTTGTTACTATCTTTTCAGGCATGCACAATAAACTGAAATCAATTCTGAGAGAATGTTGGCTACTTGAGAAATGAAATATGCATAAGCAGAGAAAGAGCACTGGTCCAGCTGTGGGGAAAATAAGAGTTTGTTAATCAATTTGTCTCTCTCAAACATTCATTATGCCACAAATTTATTTGGAGCACTTTCTCTATGCCAGGCACTGTTCTAGGTGTTTGCAGAAAATCAAGAAACAAAACAGACATCCTGCTATTCTGGGGCTTCCTTCCAGTGTAGGAGACAACAATAAATGATAAAGAAATAACCCTATATAAAAGATCAGTTAAACATATATATATTAAGGAAGGAGAAGCAGGGAAAGAAAATATGGAATAACATTTGTACCTTAGAAAAAGAATTGCAGGAAGCCTTCTCTGAGGAGGTGACATTTAAGCTGAGATCTGAATGTAATGTGGGAATATGGCGTTCCAAAACACTGTCTGCAACACAAGGAATGGTATTCCAGAAACCAGGAATAGCTAATAGTTGGGGTCAGATGCAAAAAATCCCTAAAGTGTTTGATAAGCGTCACATGGCTTGAGCTCAATGAGTAACAGTGATAGAAAATTAAATGGAACAGATCATGTAGATTGCGGAAGTTAGTAAGTAAACATTGCCTTTCTTTGGAATGCGGTAGGGAACAATTTAATTGGTTTGAGGAAGGTCTGCTCTATGATAAGATACTGTTGGAGATGGGATGCAGGAAGGACATCAGAGAGTAGTTATTGTAAGGAGAAAACGGTATTAGCAGTGGGTGTTGTAAGGCATGCTCACATCTGGGATTTTACGGAAACTAAAATAGGAAGTATTGGCTGGAGGTTTTGGATGTGGCATGTCATAGGAGAGAGTCAAAGATGGAGTTCTGGTTTGGGGGTTGAACAACCTTGATGACTAGAAGTGTAACTTTGAAATGAACACAAAAAATTATGTTATGGGCCGGGCACGGTGGCTCACGCCTGTAATCCCAGCACTTCGGGAGGCCGAGGCGGGCGGATCACGAGGTCAGGAGATCGAGACCATCCTGGCTAACAGTGTGAAACCCCATCTCTACTAAAAACACAAAAAATTAGCCAGGTGTGGTGGGTGGGGGGTGCCTGCAGTCACAGCTACTTGGGAGGCTGAGGCAGGAGAATGGCCTGAACCTGGGAGGCGGATCTTGCAGTGAGCCGAGATCATGCCACTGCACTCCAGCCTGGGCAGCAGAGTGAGACTCCGTCTCAAAAAAAAAAAAACAAAAAAAAAAACATGTTTTAGGAATAGGGGAATGATGTGGTTCAGAACAGATTAAGTTGAATGGTTCATTTGACATTTAAGTGAAGATCTTCAGTAAACAGGTTCATAAAAGTCTGGAGTTTAGGTGTGAGTAGGTAACTGGATCTAAAAATTTGAGAGTCAAATATTCCTATTTCTTAATTGAGAATGCAGAAGAAAGGAGCTAGAGGCTGGATAAACTTTAAGGGAAACAAATGACTACTTATGATTGATTTGTTGATGTAGGTTATATGTTTAAAGTAATATTAAGAGAAAAAGCTATAATGAACTTGAGAGAGGCATTTGTTATTGGAGGAAAACAAGTCATATATCTTCTACTATAGACACAGAAATGAGTATGAAATATGGACAAGATCATGAAAAAATAAGGATTATTATTTTATATATCTAAAGATGTATATATATCTTTATATATTATTTTATATGTAAAGTTATGTATATATATCTTTCAAGAATATTTGACAATTTGTTTTGTATTTGAAAGCTAAAATTATATTAAATGTTTAAAAATTGACTGGGCAAAAGCAGGGGCAGTTTAGATCTCATCATGAAAAGATAAGAAAAAATATTTTTTTCAAGTAAATTCTGGGAACCAAATAGAGTAAATTAAGAGTTTAGATTAATTTTAACATACTAGTACAAGATTTGGGGAAAATGTAGTGATTTCTTTAGCAATGGTCAAAATACAATGATGAGGAAAATTGCAGGATTAGTAGATATTATAAAGGGTTTTGCTAAATTATGTTCAAATATTGTTATGTGAAGGAACACAAATTGATTAAAACATTGCAGTATATTTTAAGACAAATGAATATAATTCTCTATATATTTGTGGCTATGTCGGGCTTAAGGCCATTTTTTTGCAGATATTTCAGAATTATTGTTTACTTGCAATGAATTCAAGAATTTATTTTTTTCATAGGAAAGTTAAGAGGTTCAACTTGCAGAAGCAGGGTGCTGGTGTTTTTCAAAATAAATAAATTATTTTTTTATTTAAACATTTCAATAGCAAAATATTTCTTAAATATATCATAGCTGCGACAACTAGAATAAGCTACAGATGTTTTTAATAAGTTGAATAAATTTGATTTTCAAAACAGAATCACAATACCACCTTGCTTAAAGCCAAAATATATAAATTGAAAGTGAATTTATCATGTAAAGTGAAATGTAAGTGCCTTTTTTGAAACTTGGAGTACATAATTGATACATATATTGAAGTGTCTGTGACTTTTTAAAATGTCTCATTTGGTAATAGGAAAACTGATACATAACTCTTGCCTGATAAATCCCAGACACCAAAAGGAGAAAAGATAAATAAGAATTGTGAACGTCAAAGAAATGCAATTATGTGCACCCCGACATGCAAACAAAACATCAGCTACTTCTATTTCATCTAGAAAACTTTAAACATTTATATCTTCTCATTTTTGATGTTTATGAATTTATCATCATTAACAATACAAATAAAATACAGAAGATAAATAAAAACCTGAGGCTGAATAACACTTTAAATACTATCAGTAATTTCTTGTTTCATGTTTTCTACATCAAGTTCATATATAAATGTTATAAACTTACATGTGGACTTATAAATAAATGTATATGAATAACACACCACATTTATCTCTGTGTGTTATTTATATTACATATATAAATATATATATATTTATTTATTTATATATTTGACCCTTGAACAATTGTGAAGTTAGGGGCGCTGACCCACTGTGCAATCAAAAATCCACATATAACTTTAGATCTCCCATAAACAACTAATAACTTAATGTTGACTGGAACCCCTGCTGATAACATGAACAGTCGATTAACAGATATTTTGTGTGTTATATGTATTATATACTATATTTTTTCCAATAAAGTAAGCCAGAGAAAAGAAGTGTTCTTAGGAAAATTATAAGAAGGAGAAAATACATTTACTATTCATTAAGTGGAAGTGGATCATCACAAAGGTCTTCATCCTAGTCATCTTCACATTGAGTAGGCCGAGGAGGAAGAGGAGAGATTGGTCTTGCTGTCTCTGGTGGCAGAGACTAAAGAGATGGAGGAGGTGGAAGGGGAGAGAGGAGAGGCAGGCACACTCGGGATAATTTTATGGAAATATAGTTTCTATCTGACATTTTTTTTCTCACAAAATGTTTCTATACAGTACCGATGCTTCTTCCACTGTTTGCTTTAGTTTTAGTGCTTGTATCATAGAAGGGATCATGTTGTAAAAGAAGTCAGAAGCAGTCTCTAATAATCTGAACCCTTTTCCCAGATTGTTTAATGTCAATTTGTTTCCTGGCACTGCTTCTTCTACATCTTCTTCTTCATCATCGAGCACTGGTTCAGAAGCACTCACCTCTATTAAGTAATCTCCTGAATTCCATTAAGATCTATATTTTGAACTTCTCTGGCAGGAATTTACTGTTTGGGGCTTGGTGGCTTTTTCTGTAACAACAATGGCATTTTCAATGGTGTAAACCTTCCAGAGTTTAATAATATTTTATCAGGGCTCTGTTTCATAGTGTTGACAATCTTTTCTATATAGTTCTGTGTGTAATGAACCTAAAGGTCCATATGACACAATTATCTAGACGTTGAATTAGAAACTCTCTGTTTGGGGGCAAGCAGACCACTTTAACACCTTCAGTGTGAAACTCATGGTGTTCTGGTGGTCAGGGGCCTGGTCCAATATCAAAAGAACTTTAAAAGGCAGTCTCTTACAGACAAGGTGCTTCCTGATTTCAGGGACAAAGCATTGATGAAACTAATCCAGAAAAAGGGTTCGCATTCATCTGGACTTTTTTTTTTTTTTTTTTTTACAACAAAAAGACTGGCAGCTGGTGTTTGTTAAAATGTCCATGCTACCCAAAGTGATCTACAGATTTAATGTAACCCCTATCAAAATACTCATTATTTTTTCATAAAATAGAAAAAAATTTGAATTTCTAATGGGACCACAAAAGACCCCAAAGAGCCAAAACAGTCTTGAGCAAAAAGAACAAAGCTGAAGCCATCACATTACATGACTTTAAAGTATACTACAAAGCTATAATAAGCTATAATAACCAAAACACATGGGACTAGCATAAAACAGACACACAGATTTACAAAACATAATAGAAATCACAGAAATAAATGCATATGTTTACTGCCAGCCAACATTTGACAAAATTGTCAAGAATAAACAATGGGGAAAGGACAATCTCCTTCATAAATGGTGTTGGGAAAACTGAGTATCTACATGCAAAAAAATAAAAAGATATTGGATACTTATGCCACTCACAAAAATTAACTCAAAATGGATTAAACACTTACATGTAAGATCTGAATTCATAAAACTAGAAGAAAACATAAGGAAAATGCTCCTTGACTTTGGTCTTGACAGTAATTTTCTTTTTGAACATAGCATCAAGAGCACAAGTAACAACAGCAAAAATAAATAAGTGGGGCTGCATCAAACTAAAAAGCTTCTGTACAGCAAACAAAACAAGAAAATGAAAAGATAATCTATAGAACAGGAGAAAACATTTTAAAACCATGTATCTCATAAAGATTTAACATCCAAAATATATAAGGAACTAATTCAACTCAATAGCAAAAATCAACAAACAAAACAAAAAACAAATACTTCAGTCAAAAAACTAGTAAACAATCTGAATAGACATTTCTCCAAAGAAGACAAACACATGGCTAATGGGTATAAGAAAAAGTGATCAGTATCACTAATAATCAGAGAAATGTAAATTTAAACCTCAATGATATATCACCCCAGCCTGTTAGCATGGCTATAATACTAAAGATGAAAAACAACAAGTGTTGGTGAGATGTGGAGGAAAGGAAACCCTATACACTGTTGGTGGGAATGTAAATTGGTACAGCCGTCATAGAACAGAGTATGGAGGTACTTGAAAACATTAAAAATAAAACTACCGCCTGATTCAGTAATCCCACTACAAGGTATGTAGTCTAAAGGAAATATAATCGGTAGCTGGAAGAGATATCTACACTTCCATGTCTCTTGTAGCATTATTATCAATAGCCAAGACATGGAAAAAAACAATTTTTGTGAGTATGTAATTGCATGTAACCTGAGTTAAATCAAATCGCATATGCTGCCTGGTCAAATTCTCTTTTTCCTGCTTATCATATATTAATAAGGCCTAAGATACATCCTGGCTGTGGCACATGCAGACCATTCTTACTTTTGTGAACATGAATTTAGGTTTCATGTCTTATGCCGATCATCTCAGAGAAATTTATTTCTTTGTCTTTTCCTGATATTAGTTACCATGGTAACTCTCAGCTTTCTCTCACAGCCATCCTTGTTTTTTTTCCATAGATTTGGGAGACCATTATAGTATTTATTTGTTAATTTGGTGGTATAGTGATATCCTGGTTTCTATAAAGTCAGAATTACCTGTTTTGTAGTGTTCTTGTTAATTTTAGATAACTTCTTAAAAATGATGATAGACAATTTTTATGTTACTGTATTCTTGATTGAAAGTCCCAGATGTTATATTTCTCAATGTTTCTTTAGGCAAGGAAAGTCCCTGACAGGGGCTCTGGAGCTAGCAGAAATACTATTGACTTTAGGTAAACTCTGTCCAGAACTCAAAGCTCAATACCTGGCTACCACATAATCCTTTGATTCTTGAGGTTCATATTACTCTTTTGGAATTTGTATGTGTATACATTTCTCTAGTTTGGTAGTTCTCCGTGACAGGGTTAGCTGCAATTAGTAGCTGTTCTGCAGCCAGAGAGATCTGATTTGATTTGAGTAGAGTAGGGTAAATCCTCATGTCCAGGACATTGTAGAAGACAGTTGCAATCTCAGGGGCAAACAAGTGGTAAAATCCAACGGTGCAGCTGCCAGAAGTTATGATACTGCTTGATGCAAGCATTCAGCCTTTCGCTACTAAAAATGACATTAGCCATAGATTTCTTGTGGGTATCTTTTTATCAAATTGTGCATACTATTATCTATTCCAAGTTTGTTTGAAAGATATTGAATTTTATCAAATGCCTTGTCTGCATCTATTCAGGAGATCATGTTTTTTGTCCTGATATTTTATTAATGTGTTATAGTACATTAATTGATTTTCAAATGTTAAACTCACTTGGTATTCTGAGATAAACTACACTTGACTATGTCATATATTATTTTTATATAATGCTGGATTTTATTGTTAATATTTGTGAAAGACAGTTGCATCTCTGAGGGCTATTGTCATAAAATTTTCTTTTCTTGTAATGTCTGTGTTTGGATTTAATATCAAGGTAAAACCATGTATTTGTATATATCCAGTAATGTAGCCTATTGTTACTTAGAACTCAGAAAACTCCCAAACTGATCTCATTATTTATTCCACACCTGGAACTTCTAACTTCCTTTTTCTGATTCCATAGATGTATCATTCTTCCAATCGATCCCATTATTTTTCTGTTTTCAAAAACTAGAAACATGGGAGACTAGTATGTCCCAATTTTCTCTGCCTACATCTAGTCATTAACAGATGCTATTGGCTTGCATTTTGACAAAATTCCTATCTAAGAAATTGTTAGTCCAAAGATTAGCATTTGTTTGTTCAGCTTTTTGCTCCTTGTCACAATCCATAGCTTACAATAACATTGATAATAAACTAAGATAAAAAGTAAAGAGCACTGAGACACTATCATCTCAATCCACATCCTCAATATCTTCCTACCAGACTTCAGTAACAGCCTCTTCTCTTGCCAGATTTATAATACCTGGAACGTAGTTAGATGTAATACATTTTTGTAGAACTGAGCTGAATTATCTAAAAAGTCATCCTCCAACTTGTCCCTCTTTATCTTCTACTATTTTCCTACATCAGTTCTTGACTTCGAACAGTTCTCCTTCATATCCCCTAACAAGTTATAAATTTTCACATCATGCACATGTCTGATTACCTACAACATCCTAGTCTCCCTTTTTTTCTATCAAAGCAGTTCTACTGACTCTTATAAACTCACCTCAATTTTATCTCCTCTCATAAGACTCAGTCTCCTCATGAGACTGAGATATACCTCTTCCTGAGGCAAAATTAATTAGACATTCATTTATATGGTTTAAACATTTATGGCACTTCTATTGTAAAACTTAAAACTTTGTATATCTTTTTTTTTTAACTCCATTTAAATAGTAGAAGGGAATTTATGTTACTGTTTGTTTCACGTCAATTTTCTAGTTAAACCTGGTCAGTATTCAGGCAAGTCCTTACTCGAAATAATGTAAAATAATTTTCTGAAAGATGCCATTAGTGTGTTTAATATATTTGAAAATAACTAATAGAAACTTTATAATTTTCATTTGGAAAGCCAGATGCAAGATCACATATTAAATATGCATTTCACAGATGAATTTTTACAAATATAAGTCAGTGAGAACTCTATGTCTTGTGAAGATGTCATGTTTTCTTATTGGCTTCCGAGGATACTTTGGGTAAAAAAAAAATGTTTTCATATGAATAATAACACTTTCAAATTTGTAAATATATGTCATAACATAAATTTAGCATTTAGTTTAAAATAACTCTGGGAATTCATGCAAACACATTATTCAAGAATTACTCCATTGTCACAATATTTTTATAGTCATTACATTTTGCATGTTTAAACTTACTCAATTTGTATAAACTTTAAGTGATTTGAGATGTTATATTCATTTTCAAGTATCATTTATACCAAATCATATGTTTTGGCTATCTTCTCACATTTGTGGCACTCTGCAGAAATCATACACATAGCTCTAATCTCTGGGGGTTAATAATGTCAGAAATCTAGACAGATCCGAAACAGTAAATAAAAGTAGAAGCATTCTCTAAATGAAGATCAATATTCTAGATTCAAACTTCATTGACAAGACTCCTTGCAGATGATATTATATAGCTCAATGAAGAACTATTTTTAAGTGACATATTAGTTATCTATTACAGTGTAACAAATCACCACTTTCTTGATGCACCAAAAGATAGTGTATAACAATATGGTAGGTGTTTTTTAGTCCCCAGAGTTGGGAGTAAGCTGACGCGCAGCAATGATAGCTAGAACATCTAAATGTCTGAAGGCAAGTCATATCTTTCTGATATACCGAATATTTAACATGTATCAGCATTTAAAAAGTCAAACACGCTCAGGTTTCTGGGAGATAATGTAAAATATTTTAGGATGGGCCTGGTCTTCTTGTTCCAGGGCAGGGGCCCTATCAACAGCTGCTGGGGAAATAAACAAGATAGAGTTTACAAAGCGTTTTACCATTTGTAATGCTAATTTGGTTTTGGTTTTATAACGTTTTACTGAATTAAAAGAAAAAGGATACAAGAAAAGCCAAATAGTAAAGTTGGTTGAATAAATCCTGTGTTGTAAGATTTTAAAAATACAAGAAAACTAAGTTTTTATAGCAATGATGCAATCTAAACCCATCCAAAAAGAATATTTTGTAAAAAGTATAAAGGTACTTCACGTAAACATACCTCAATTATTTTTAAAGGAAAAATAGAAAAATAATGAAGCTGTAGTGAGTGCTCAAATTTAAATTCATCACTCTTTTATTTAGCATTTATATCTATATTAAAATCATCAAAACCTAAAGTTTACTGGAATAATATTGTCATATTTTTAAATGCCATGCCAATATTAAGCTATGGTTTTATAGAAATTCCTTAGACCATAATATACACTTCAGTATGTTGCCTATGGAAAGGTTGCTGCACATTGTTATACAAATAGAAGAAAGAAAATTGTGACTAATATCTGAACTCAATGCTAGATGAGAAAAAGCAAAGGATTCCTGTACCAACTGCTAAAGCAGGATTAATGTAGAGATTCATGATATACAGGCTCATTTACTATACATGGTTTTATGTTTATTATTAACCAAAAGACCCTAGAGAGTTTAGCTTGCAAACTTACTTTGAATACCATGTATGTGATGCTTCTACTCTTAGATTCTTATGTAAGATAGCCACAGACATTATTCTCTACTTGAGAATAGATCAAATAATGCCTTCAGGTGGTAAAAATTTGCTTATATTTTTAGTTTCATAGCAACACAGTGCAAAGACTGCCCCTGGAAACTGTCAACTTTAAAAGGAAGGCCAGCACATTTGAATATCATTTCTGGAGTTGGTAGCCAGTGGCTAGATGACTACAACCTCTCAGCAACTGAATTTCTCCACAAGGTTCTCCTTTAAGGGCAGCGGTCCACCTAAACTAAAATGAAAGAATTTGAAATGCAACTTACTTGCAACACTGAGAGTGCTTATGCTAACAACATAACCAGAATTTATGAAACATATGCCAAATGTAGCTTGAATTTAAAGAAGTCCAACATCTATCTGATATATTATTCACATTCCTTAAATTGGAATCAAAATGTCACTGGTAAAGTTTCCAATGCTAGCTGAAAAGTTATATGTCAAGTCATGGGATCAAGACTGCAGTTTGGAACACCAGCCTTCTAACTCTGATGCTAACCACTCTTCTGTATTCTAATTCTTAATCAGATAGATTTTTCCTATTTTATATCCCTGTCAACTGTTTAGTAATTTCCTCGCTAGGTACAGGTGTCAGTATTTGCCCTAAGATTCAGCCAGGCAGCATTTCAGTTTTCATGATTACTAAGACTAACAGAGCCAACGATCCTAAGTCAAAGGTATAAAATATCAGTACAACAGTTCACCTCTCAGGGACCAGACCCAATTTAACTCTTGGTTCTTCACTGACGTACTTCCAGGGCTAAAAGCCTTTAGTTATGCTTGCAGTTTATCCAATTCCTTGTATCTGTTTCGACCTGAGGTTTAGATTCTTCACTTTTTAAGGTTTGATTTTCTTTTAATACAACTCCAGGGTTTTATAAACTTTGTTGAAATTTTTAATTCCTCTACTAAGAAAACTCTAACTGATCTCTAACACCTGAATTTCAAAATTTTCCTTATGAAAGTCAGGTAAGAAGGAATAAAAGAAATGAAGTTTCTAGCATGTATAAATTATTACTCTAGCTGATTTATATATTTAATCTCATTATTCTACATAATCCAATGTATTACTGTACATGTGCTTTACAAATAAGAAAACTGAGCCTCATAAAAGTTAGGAAATTGCAAACATACTTCTTCCAAAGTAAAGGTAGATATGAAAAAAATTGAATATCTATTATTCAACTATTAAAAATAGAAAACATTCCATTTATATCAGTGGTTCTCAACCAGTGGTGATTTACCCCATCCCCAGGGGACATTTGGCAATGTCTGGAGTTATTTTGGGTTGTCACAGGAGGTGGGAGGAATGATACAGTTATCTATTCTATAGATAGATGCCAAGGATACTGTTAAACTTTCTCCAATCCACAGAAAATGGCTCCAGAACAAAGAATCATTGACGTGGTTGACTCTGTGTCCCCAGCCAAATCTCATGTTGAATTGTAATCACGAATGTAGGGGGAGGGACTTGATGGGAGGTGACTGGATCATGGGGGCAGATTTCCCCCTTGCTGTTCTTCTGATAGTAAGTGAGTTCTAATGAGATCTGGTTTTTTGAAAGTGTGTAGCACTTCCCCTTGGCTCTCTCTCTCTCCTGCTCTGCCATGTGAGGATGGTGCTTGCTTCCTCTCTGCCATTCGCCATAATTGTAAGTTTCCTGAGGCCTCCCTAGCCATTTACCTGTACACCCTGCAGAACTGTGAAGCAATTAAACCTCTTTTCTTTAGTAATTAGTCTGCCTCAGGTAATTCTTTATAGCAATGTGAGAACGAACTAATGCAATTATCTAGTTCAAAAGGTCAATAGTATCAAAGTTGAGAATTTTGGATGTAGATTAATAAAACACACATTTCATTTCAATTATTACAATGCACTGCTTACAATACTATTTGTCTTCAAACTTGGAACCCTGTATTCATAGAACTAATGTGTGGAATTATCCTAGGAAGTAATTACATGTAATTGATGACTAATGGGACCATAAGAATAAATCTAGAAAAGTGATTCCCCCTTGCTCTTTTATTAAATAAATACAATTCCATACAATCTTCCTACTCATAACCTTGTTTAATTAAGTTTTGGTTTGTATTAAATAAATTGAAATGTACAAAGATAAGTCACTATGAATTAATAAGAGTATAATATTGTATATAAAAAACAATGTTTGTATATAGTTGTTTGATACAGAGCTGCACTCACTGAAGTACTTATAAAATAACTGCAAAAGCAACTTGGAAGGAAACCATATCAGAAGATATTCTGAAAGATTATAAAAAGTGTGTCTTATCATGAGCATATAAAAATATGCTGATCTCATCTATCAAGAGGAAAAAAGTTGTTTCCCTACAAAACATCTTATATTTTAATGAAAGAAACAACTATAACAAACTTCAGTTGTTCAGAAGAATTTGGAGAATGACAAGTTAGTATTATGGAGAGTTGACATTATAGAATATGATAATGTAAATGCACTTGATCAAAATATATTACCAATGGCCCCTAAAATTATAAGATTATAACCTATGTACTATATTAATGATTCTCTCCAATGTATAAACTAAAATAATCTATAATTAGCAAAGAGATTACCTTTAACTAAATGCAAGTTTCTGAAATTCGTGGGGAGACTAAAAATATTTTCCTCCTGAGGTGGTGCTTTATTCTTCTAAGTCTGCTATAGCAAATTACCATAGACTATGTGGTTTAAACAGACATTTGTTTCTCACAGTTTCAGAGGCTAGGAAGTTCAGATCAAAGTGAGAGAAGTGTCCATGTCAGGCGAGGGCTCTCCCTTTGGGTTGCAGGAGGTGATCTACTCACTATGGCCTAACATGGTGGACAAAGAATGAGCTCTGATCATCTCTTCTGCTTCTTAAAAGGCCACTAATCCTTTTATGGGAGCCCCACCTTCAAGATCTCATCTAAACCTAACTATTTCCCAAAGCCTCTACCTGCAAATACCATCATATTTGGGGGTATAAATTTTATATAAATTTCTGGGGGATACAGACATGCAGTATACAACTAGTAGTTTAATCATTATTAAGAAATGTATTTATATTTCAAAGCTTTTCTTTATAAGCATTACAAGTATAATTCTTATTCTAACCTTTACATAGATTGTTATAAGTTCTGATCACTGAAGTCTGAATTAATTAGATTTTACTCTAATCTCTATTACTTAATTCATAAAGATTGAGAAAGCTTCCTCATTGGTAATTCTTAAATAAACAAAATAAATAAATAAATAAATAAATAAATAAAGCAATTCTTAAATGCTTTATGTAAGTATGGTGTCATTTTAACACAATTCCAAATAGAATGTACTTTAATATTTCTTCTTAATGTGATTTTTCATTTCTTTTGTAAGCACAGATGTAGAAACACTTAACATCACATGATTAAGTTTGCATGTCATAAAATTTCTAGGATCTTTGTGGAAGTTGCCATAAATCGGCATGTTTCTGATGCTGCTGAACAGCAGTAACTTTCAAAGAAGAGAAATTTTCACATTTTTCTGAAAATTACTCTCTCACTACAGGTTCCCATTTCCATTCAAATTTGACATATGACTCACTTTTAATCAGAGAAAATCAACCATGGAAATCAAATGCAAAGCAGCATAGTCCCATGGTGAATGTTTCCTCTAATGAGGGCTTAACTTTTGGTTACATGAGGTATCTAGCATGCAATGTTAGAACTACTAAGCCAAAAAAAAAAAAAGTGCAAACGAATCTGTGTTAAGTTTCTCCAGAAAATATCTGCACAAGAGAAATGAAAACATGTCCACACAGACTTGTATGTGCATATTCACAGAAACACTATTTACAGTAGCCAGAAAGCAGGGAATAAACCCAAATGCCAATGCGAATTGTTAAACAAGATGTGGTAGTGTATTCATACAATTGAATACTATCTTACAATATAAAGCAATGTAATATGGATACATATTACAACATAGACTGACTTCAAAATACTGTGTTAAGTGAAAGAAGCACAGCTCCATTAATCCTATAGCCACAAGGAACTGGAAGCTGCTGACAACCAAGAGAGTGTAAATGTGGATCATTTCCCAATCAAGCATCTGATGAGAACCCAGTTCTGGATGGCATTTTAATTGCAGCCTTAGGAGACCCTAAACAGAGCACCCAACTATGCCATGACCAGATTTATGACCCACTGAAACTATGGATAATAAATGTGTTGTTTTAAGCTGCTAAGTTTGTGATAATTTGTTATGCAGCAATGAGAAGTACCTTTAATAAAGCTGTTCACAAATTTCTCCAGGAAGTAAGACAGAAATTTCCCTATATTATTCATATAACTTTCTCATAATTAATGAGGTCATAATTTCTTCAGAAGTTCAAGTTCACCTAAATCATACATCCCTTTGGATCTCAGATTTTGCACTTAAATTTTTATCAAGAGTCATGATGAAAACACAAAAACTAACTTGATATAGCTTGGCTCATTTGTGGAGACTTCAAGGTTAAACCAGCCTAATTAAGATGTTAATATACTTTTTAATGATTTTGGCTCTGTTTTTCTATTTATCACACATTCTTCAAAAGAACTAAACGTTAACACCATCTGCATGCTCTCTTTTAGTGGCATAAACATTAATGTGAGATGTTTTATTTAAAAAGTAGAACTAGGCTAACTATGTGATATGATGAAGAATTTGTTTTCTTAAGCTTGAAAACAGAAAATATTTGGTTGCCTTAATATATTGAGGACCACTAGAATAATGTATCCTTACTAGATTTTCAAAATCTTGAAAAAAATACTTCAGCATATCTGTGGTTATATCAAGAAATATTACACAAAAGTCAAGTTTTTTAATATTATAAAAAATTATGTAATGCATACTTTAAGTGAACTGAGATAACGATAATGGAAAATTAGAAAATCAGATACCGATGAGTAGGACATGAAGTTGGAAATCAGTTTATCATCTTGCTGACATGAGAACTATCAACATTCACTTTCTTACTTCTCATTCTGAACAAATGGGAATGTCAGATACTAAATTTAGACTGAACTCATCAGTGCTTGGGTTCGACATGGATGGAACTGAACTATTATCAGAGTTGTACTAGATAGACTAAAAGAGCGTCAAAGGCAAAATGGTCAGGCACAAAGTATCATTGAGACTTTGGTATGGAAGGAGCAAAGCAGAGAGACTAAATTCTAATGTGAGGCAAGAATGTGTGTCTGAGAAGACAGATTCCAATGAAGAGAGATCAAAACAGCAGGAAACAAACTGAGCCAGGGTATATTTCTTGAACTGGGTACCTGTGGTCTAGCGGATGTGTGGGGAGCAAGTTTATTAAGGGTGTAAAACCCACTGAGATAGAAATGCTATTTGAAATATATGAGAGAAGGAAAGCTGAGGTAAAACTACATTAAATGAAGAGTGAATGAATAAAAACACATTCTAATAAAACTAAAGTAGTTGAAGAATATGAAGATTGTAGAAAAATTAAGGGAAGAACAAATAGGGATCTGATGGAAGCCCTTAAACAGATAAAAATAAAGATGTTTAAATACTGTGGAAAGAATGACACAAAAGGGTATTAATTAATTCCATGAACATGCCTAAAATACTACAGGTGAATGCCATAATAACAGAAGCAACAAAGCAAATAATTTGAGATGTATTATAATCTTGTAGTATTAGTGTTCCGTATATTACAGAGTTGTACTAGGATTTTAAAAATTTGTGTACTCTTGTTGGTTTCTGCTTATTAGTGCAAACTGCACACATCCTAATTTGGATATATCTGGAAAATGTGAGCTACACGTTGCACATTGCAAAAAAAAATTTTTAAGTGTGAATATTATCCCTGATATTTAAATAACACATACAAAAAAAGGTTTTAAAACAGGATGATCACTGATCATTGGCAGTGGCCAGAGTGCTGCTGCCTCTAGAAGGATTTTGAGGTCGAGTTCAGATTCAGTAGGAAAGTTTAATATTTAATTATTCATGTTTTCCATGGTTAAAAGAGGAGAGATGGGAAGTATGCCTGGTTTAGTAGTTTACCTTGTAATGCTACAATGTACTCAAAATCAGTGTGATCCATTATAGAGGATTATGCCCAATATCTGATGGTTTACCTTAACAGGAGAGTTAAATAGCAGTTTTCACTAATTCAAAAAGTTATATTGAATACATTACAGCCCTGTTTTTCTTCTTCAGTATGGGTTAAAATAAAGGAAATATATTTCATGAAGGATTTACCTTAAAATTAGAATTTTCTGAATACAAGTATGGACTCTGATATGCTTTGGCTGTGTCTCCACCCAAATCTCATCTTGAACTGTAGCTCCCATATTTCCCACATGTTGTGGGAGGGACCTGGTGGGAGATAACTGAATCATGAGGGTGGTTTCCCCCATATTGTTCTTGTGGTAGTGAATAAGTCTCAGGAGAACTGATAGTTTTAGGAAACACTTTTTGCTTGTTTCTCATTCTCTCTTTGCCTGCTACCATGTAAGATGTGCCTTTGCTCCTCCTTAGCTTTCTGCCATGATGTTGAGGCCTCCGTGCCCATGTGAAACTATGAGTTCATTAACCCTCTTTTTCTTTATAAATTACCCAGTCTTGGGTATGTTTTTATTAGCAGTGTGAAAACAGACTAATACAGATTCATTTGGCTGTTATGTTAGTGAGAGAAGTTACACATGCTGTTCAATTTGCAATGCTTTATTTAATCAACTTACAAATCATGTATGTTTCTGTCACCCTTTCAATAAATATTCTTACTTTGTATTTTAAAATAGTAAAGGGTTTTATAATAGTAATTTTCTCTGAAAATCCTTTAATTTAAATGTGCCAGTTCATTTTACATTCAAAGAATACAAAAGAAAATAATTTGAATTATGATGACCTATTCAATATATTTAATTTTTTTATGAATGTTTAGTCTTTTACTCACAAATTCAATTGTGAAGTGTAAGCAAACAAAATTTTATATTTCAATTTATATCTCTATTGGGAAAGAATAAAAAATTTATTTTTAAAAATTACTAAGAGTGATAGATCCCAACAGTAATCTCTGAGTCAATTATTTTGTGTTTTATATTTAATAAGCCTTGATCTTTCTTGTCAAATTTGGTTGCTCTAGCAAAAGAAAATGTCATAATAGTCATAGTCATATAAAAATAACAATATTTTCTTTTCCAGATAATCCTCCCAACAAAAAAATTGTATCAGCAGTAGAATAGTAACTTTTAGAATCTATGTATTCATGTCCTGTGCATCGTTACTGTCATCTATTACAAAACCTGACCAAATTTCAGAATTACATGTAGAGTTTTAAAAGCACTGATATTCCTAGATCCTAGTCCCAGTCCACTAAATCAGAATCTCTAGGATAGAGTATTCAACAAGTTATGTATTTAAAAGCTCCACAGTGGCAAGTGATCAGCCAGGCTTGAGAGCAGTTCCCACATCTATCTAAAGTATTCGTGTATACGTGGGCGTGTGGAGATGGTCAATAGCGAAGAGAAAGTCCTTGTGTTAATATTTATTGCTGGTGCACTTGTATAGTCCTTATAAAGAATCTTTTAATAATATTGACTTAAGGCCACATTTAGATCACTGCTAGCTGCTTTTTAATGATTTCTCACAAAAACTCTTGAGAATTTTTGAGCATTTGACACATGTGATATACTAGAATAGAAAAAGTGTAGAAATGAACTGTGCCAATAAAAAAGTCCTTTAGCTAAAAATAAAAATAAAAAGTTGAAAAACATGCATAGAAAGAAGAGGGTTGATTTTAGCTTAGTGACTAGATAAAAGTAGATTAAGTAACTGTTGTTGTTTTGACACAATTTAGGAGATTATTGACCTTCATTTCTTCAGTGGAGGAAGTGAGATTTGTTGCTTACAGCTAGTGATTTGAATCCAGGCCTTTTTAGTTCAAAATGCCTCACATGTCACTCTTAGCCCCTTTAGATGTCACTGTCAGTCCCTTTACTAGAGAGGCTGCCTATCTTACATTCACATCACAGGCCACTGAACTTCTTGAATTTCTTGGATGACATGGCATACTACCAAATGTGATACATAAGTATAGTGACAAAAAAAAAAATAAAAGAGAGAGTACAAAGTAAAGTTTCCTGAGACAATTTCAGCTGGAAACACAGAAATCAGTAAGATGCTGGGACTGCTGCAGGTTGTATTTCAAAGATGTCTGAGGTAGGAGGTACAAAGACCCTTTGGAAGTAAACATATCAGAAGTGGTGGGGACTAGAAAGAAACAAGCATATTTAGATGGAACTCAAACACCCATATTTATTTATTTAAGGAATCCCTGAAAATGGGTATAAACTTCCTATCAAACACAGAGATGATATGGCTGATTTAAGATGTTTCAGGCTTCATAAGACACTGTAATAATCAATATAGAGGAATAAGGTTGTAAAGAAACTGAAAATTATTTGATGAAACAAAATTGACAATATAGATAATAGAGAAATATCATGCAGAGAAGGAGGTGAGACAAAAACAGGATTTTATTTTATTTATTAATATTATTTAGAGACAGGATCTCACTATTTTGCCTAAGCTGATCTCAATCTCTTGAGCTCAAACAATCCTCCCGCCTCAGCATCCCAAACTGCTAAAATTACAGGCATGAGCCACCATGCCTGGCTGAAAACAGGATTTTAGCTAGTACTTACAAATGTACAATTTTTTGTTTTTTTCCCGAGATGGAGTCTTACTCTTTCACCCAGGCTGGAGTGCAGTGGTGCGATCTCGGCTCACTGCAACCTCCACTTCCTAGGTTCAAGCAATTCTCCTGCCTCAGCCTCCTGAGTAGCTGGGATTACAGGCACGCATCACCACACCCAGCTAATTTTTGTATTCTTAATAGAGATGGGGTTTCACCATGTTGGCCAGGCTGGTTTCGAACTCTTGACCTTGTGATCCGCCCACCTTGGCCTCCCAAAGTGCTAGGATTACAGGTGTGAGCCACCATGCCTGGCCAAACTTACAATTAATCCGAATCTTCAAGAAAGATTTTTTTAAAATGCAGATTCTTAGGAATGACACCCAAGAATCCTGACTCAGTAGGTCTGAAGTAAGAGTCATAAATCTGAGTTTCGATGGATTCCCCAGGTGAGTCAGATAGGGAATTAAATGTAGAAATCACCAGTTCTTAGAAAGAAAGCTATTCTTGGACTCTCAAAATATGAATTCTACTCTGTCACTTAGTAATAAAGCCAGATGGAAAATATTATTTTAAGTTTCTAGGCCTCGATGTAAAATTAGGGACATGAACTAGAATACAAGGCATGAACTTCTTTGCTCAACTAGAGTAGTCCATGGAACCCCAAGAGCTGAGCAGTCTTGATGAATTAGGAATGGGACCCAGAGCACTGTCTGCTTAGCCATCCTCCCCAATGGCCAATAGCCTCAGAGAGGACTTCTCAGAGCCCCTCAGAGTCCAGGTTGAAAACCATGAAATTAATGCATGCTAAGATCCCTTCCATGTCTAAGAATATAAAATCAGTAAGACTAGTTCCTGGCATATTAATTAGTTATCACTCAAATGAGGCAATTGGAAGATGGAGGGTCAGCCAGAAGTTCCAATTATTAGAACAAGAATTCTGTCTTTAGGTGGGCAGTTGGACAAATAGGCTGTTCAGGGTCAGAAAAAATGGTTAAGGAAGATGCAATGTGTGCCTCTTCTTTTGCACATGGCAGAGATACATTTGATAGGAAGTCTGACGTCTGTTATATGAGCCAAGAAATCCAGGCTTCCATGGCAAATGTCATAATGATGCATGAAGTTGTGATCCATCATGTCTTTGGGTCCATAATGGAGTATCACATCAATTCCGTCTTGCTCTGTTGACAGTTGACGACATGCTCTCTAAACTGAAAAACTAATGCCTTGCCAAAGGAAAATATTATTTAAAGGTTACTGTGCTTTTTAACTTTTTTTTTACTTTATTAACAAATAATACTGAGATCATCATCTTTATCTCAAAAGATTTAGGTATTCCTCCACAAATTTATTTTACAACCACATTCTAAGTTGTACAGACATCTATATCAATTAATGTATTCCATTTTATTTTAACCGAGTACATCTAATTTGCAAATAAAACATCCCCAGGAGGTAGAAATAATACTCTGATTTCTTTACTGAATTAGCTCATTAGTGTAATGTGTATATATACACTACTTTATTTTATGTAGTAGGAACATTTCGTGGACACTTTAGAACAGTAATTAAGTATTTAATATGTAAGATAATACCCATAGATATGTCTTTTCTATCTCTTTTTTTTTCTTATGGACACATTACCCTTTCTTGGCTCTCTAAGCCTCTCACCTTTATGCTAATAGTCACTATTTAAAAATACTATTTAAGACTCTTAAAAATTTTGTAGACAAGTACATGTTACCACTAGGGAATGTATCTGAGTCACACGGCACCAAAGTATGTTAGGAGCTGGGAATCCATATGGGTCTGTAGCAACCTCAATTCTTGCCTCCTCAGAAGAAACAATTCAACCTAGGGGCACAAGGTAGGGTGAGAGACTGAGGCAAGTTTTAGAGCAGGAGTGAACGTTTATTAAAATGTTTAGAGCAGGAATAAAGGAAGTACACTTAGAAGAGGGCCAAATGGCAACTTGAGAGATCAAGTGCACAGTCTGACTTTTGACTTGGAGTTTTATACTTTGGCATTCTTCCAGGGTCTGCATCTTCTCCCCTGATTCTTCCTTGGGGTGGGCGGTCAGCATGCACAGTGGCCTGCCAACACTTGGGAGGGGTCACATGCACAGGTGTTTACTGGAGTGTAGACATGCTCACTTGAGGTGTTCTTACCTTACGAGTCAAATGTTCCCAGAATGTCATATGACAGTTGAACACCATCAATTTTCCTCTTAGTGTGTGTGCATGCTTGAGCCCACTCGCCCAACTCCTGAGATCTTATCAGGAAGCTGCTGATCACCAGGTTCAGGGTTTTTTTCTGTGTATTGGGAGACGGCTTTTCCCTGGCACTGGCTGCAACCAATTATTATTTTACAGAGATAGTTTTAACAACTGCCTCCTATCACCTAATGATTGCCTGTCATTCCTTGGTAGGGGCCCTCTCCCGCCCTGCTCATGTCTGACTGACTTCCTACTGTAACACACATATGTTTTGAAAGATTATTTAGGAAGGAAAGTGGATATTTATCTTAAAAAATGTGTGTTCTATTTCAAAATGGTTGACCAACCAAACACAGACATTTGCCTTCTCCCCTTCCCAAATGCAATTAAAAAGATAGAAGAGTTTTCGTTTTGGTTTTTTAATGAAAATAAATAATAAAGCCATAGAACTAAAAAACATGGGGGAAATGTTCCCTAAACACAAAAAGTTTAGGGAATTTGGGGCAATATATAGCAGTTGGGCTTCAGATTAATGACAATAAAACAAAACTACTGGCATAAAACGTTTTCTCCTCGATTAAGTCCTAAGGACTTGCTCTCATAGTGGTCAGCAGACCAGCAGCATTGACATAGCCAGAGAGTTTGTTAGAATGGAAATTCTCAGGCCCCACGGTGCACCTAAGTAATCTGAATGCATTTTTTACAAAATCTCCAGGTGATTCTCATGCACAATGTAAGTTTGAGAAGCCCTGTCCTAGGGCACTGTAATACAAGCACTGTTATTCTTAGCTTAGCAATAGACTCACTTGGAGAACTTTTAGCAGCCGATCACTTTTCTTTATCCCTAAAGATCTGACTGAATTGGTCTAATGCAGATACGACTTAAACTCTCCTTGGATCATTTTAATGTACAGCTAGCATTGAGACTCTCAGGAGTAACAGGAAAGCTGTGAGAATTACCAAATTACCAGAATTACCAAAAAACTTCAGGCCAGCTGAGCTGCACGCTAATCTAAAATATTGTCTGCCTTATGTAAAAACAGCAGCAGAATGCATAAAATAACTGAAAAATAAAAACT
The DNA here is from genome assembly GCF_000001405.40 of Homo sapiens. Lineage (NCBI taxonomy): Eukaryota > Metazoa > Chordata > Mammalia > Primates > Hominidae > Homo > Homo sapiens. The sequence continues at coordinate 118,826,292 of NC_000007.14, forward strand.
GAGTGATCTGTGAACATTGATTTTCAGTCATAGCTATGAATGAATAATCACCTCTGTGGGTGGGATACAGGCAGCAATAATTGTTAAAGCTCCCCAGATGTTTTCAATTTGCAGTCAAGTTTGAGATTCACCAGCCCAGAAAGTGTTGGAAATGGAGACATTTGATGATAATGTCAGGACCACACAGAGAATGCAAGCAGAATTATTTATTGAACTTCCATCGTACACACAGAGTGGAGGAAAGGGTGCAATATAAACCAAGAAGACTTTTTTCCTTCTATTACAAAATAAACCATAAATTTGCATATGTTCTCCCACCTCATTCTGAAAGGAAGTTGGCCAGTTTGAACATCCTGCACAATTAGCTCTAGAAAATTATCCATTTGAGGGATGAGATTCCATGAACAAAGACTCATTTTAAAATTGCCACAGGATTCTACATCAGCAACAATTTGTAATTATGCTTAGACAATGAAACATCATTAGATATTTGGGAAAAATAAAAAAATAGAGAAGCATCTTGTGGATTAAAAGAGAGAAAGAATGAAATACAAGTGACTGTATAAACAAAAAGTTCAAGATTAAGATTTTGCATTAAAAATAAAATAATAAGGAAATCTCAGAAATCAAACATCACTGCTGGAAGTTAAATACATTAATAGTGGTACTGCAGAGTTGTATAGGCATAACCGAAGACTGAATTCAAAATCCAGAGTATGAAGGATAGAAAATCAGCCAGAAGGTAAAGAAAATAGAGATGCAGCATATGTGAAAGATAGAGAAAGAGAGTATGAAAGAGAAAGAGAATGAGGACAAGGGAAGAAATATAATCTACAAAGAATATAAATAACTATAATTAAAATTCTGACCTTGATTCTAAATTCTGGGAGATAACGGCATAATTTATACTAAATTTTAAGGGAGAAGATTTGAACCTATGTCCAACTTGACTATCATGCAGACAAAAGAGCAAAATTCAGGAAACAACAAATCCTGGAGAGGATGTCGAAAAACAGGAATGTTTTTACACTATTGAGGGGAGTGTAAATTAGTTCAACCATTGTGGATGACAGTGTAGCAATTCCTCAAGGATCTAGAACCAGAAATACCATTTGACCCACCAATCCCATTACTGGGTATATACCCAAAGGATTATAAATCATTCTGCTATAAAGATACATGTACAAGTATGTTTTTTGCAGCACTGTTCACAATAGCAAAGACGTGGAACAAACCCAAATAACTATCAATGATAGACTGGATAAAGAAAATGTGGCACATATATACCATGGAATACTATGAGGCCATAAAACAGGATGAGTTCATGTCCTTTGCAGGGAATGGATGAAGCTGGAAACCATCATTCTCAGCAAACTAACACAGGAACAGAAAACCAAACACCACATTTTCTCACTCATAAGTGGGAGTTGAATAATGAGAACACATGGACACAGGGAGGGGAACATTGCACACCAGGACCTGTCAGGGGGTGGGGGGCAAGAGGAGGGATAGCATTAGGATAAATACCTAGTGTAGGTGACGGGTTGATGGGTGCAGCAAACCACTATGGCACATGTATACCTATGTAACAAACCTGCACATTCTGCACATGTATCCCAGAACTTGAAATATAATAAAAAAATTTTTAAAAAGCAAAGATTCAGAGATAATAAGCCGATATACCCAATGTTAGAAATAAGAGAAAGGAGGGGAAGAAAGAAGATTGCAGAAAAGACAGAACAAATATTATTTCAGGACACATTCTAGGAAAGCAAATTAAATAAGAACAAATGAAGTGAAACACACACAAAAAGGTATTATAACATGTCATAAGATGCATATTTGTCTAAAAATGATTGATCATAAACCTCTGAAATTCAATATAATTGTATAAAATGATTTTTTAGAATGGTAGTGTAAATGTGGTAAAAAAGAAATTTTAATATGAGTGATGAAATAAGTGAAGGAAGGGAAAGGAGATAAACACACATCAGAGTTCTTGTCTTGTCAAAATTGATATAGAATATTAAAGGTGAAAGAGCATGTAATTATAATATTTTTGCCAAGTTTTAGCATAACTACTAGAAGAATAGAGAATATGTAATTTTAAATGAATAGGGGAAAAACAAAATAATGTTAAACATTTCAAAAAAGTCATTAAAAACATGTTAATAACAAAATATAAAATAAAGTGGCAAGGACAATCTAAAATTTTAAGTGAATAAATGTAATTAAATAGACTAGATCTCACTCTGTAGATAAAAACGCCAAGATGTGTCCAAAGTAATATTATACAGAATGCAGTATATAAACAAAATGAACGTAAAGGGAAACTTAAATTATTTGTTTTAGGTAATTCCTAAAATGGTATCATTAAGTATGATGAAAAAGAATTTAAGGAAAACTTAGAATGCTAAAAGATATAAAACCGATATGTCAGTAAGGGTTGATCAGGAAAATGGAAGTCACTCCTTGTATTGCAAGTAGGAAGGGCTTTTATACAGGAAAATAATGGTGTGCAAAATCACTGGAAGGTCATGATAAGGAAGGGTGGGAAAGCCATTACCTATCTCTATCTGCAGTAACAAAGCTTTGATTCTAAAGAGTTGAAAAGAAGTCTATGCAAATCTCAAGGATTTCTGTGAGGTCGAAGGAACTCTGTCATTTGCAGTCCTAATACAAGTACTTCAAATTTCACATTGGCTAGCTACCCATGCTACTGCTTGCTTTGAAAGAATGAGAACATTTCCTTTTCTTCAACCTTTGAAATATCATTGAAGACATTTTATTGAAAACTCATACCTGGAATCACAGAAGGAAAGGAAATTTTGGAAATGTGGTTTCTGACTTCTTTGCAACACAAGGAAAAGGAAGTGATTATAAAGCAAAATTTACAAAAGAAAACCCTGATAATTTTTTTAAAGGTACAATCAATTAAGAACACATGCATCACCTGATAAAAACTAACTTGGCCAGTTAATCAAATGTAATATCAACAGTGGTAATACATGTTGATCATATGTACTCTTCACTAGTATGATGAAATGGCACCACACATTGTTGATCTTCCTTATAATTTACAATTCCAGTCTATTACAAACAAAAAATCAGATCAATTCCAATTGATAGTCTGCAAAATACATAATCAATATTCATTAAAACTGTCATGGCCATTAAAAACAAGGAATTATGAGAAACTCTCACACCAAGAAAAGCCAGGAGAGACAGGATGACTAATTGAAATGTAATAGCTTTATTGGAATCCTAAAACAGAGAAAGGAATTAGGCCAAAATTAAAGAAATTAGAATAAATTCTGACCTTTAGCTAATAATAAAGTATCAATATTGGTTCATTAATGGTGACAAATATTCCATAGTATTTTGATGTGTGAATAGCAGGAGAAACTGGGTAAAGGGTATATACGAACTCTCTTTACTATATTTTACAACTTTTTAAAAACATCATTTTACTCTAAAATTAAAAATATTTAAAATATGTATTAATTTTGATAGGAAAATGAGCATATTAATGTTTTACCAGTTTTCATGTCTTTTTACCTACTGAGAAGTAAAATAAAACATGAAAAATAACCTGTTAATAATACACATAGACTAAATACAAAAGATGCCAAATGTTATCAATAACATATGTCACTGTGAGCTCAGTCTGTCACATTTTCCAATTTGTTTTATTTTAGAAGTAGAATTTCTGTAGGTATAGTCGTAACTTTTGAGTGAAAAGGTATTTTTCTTCAACTGCATTTGAATATTAGTTTATTTTGCTAGTGTTTGAATTATCACTCTTAAATATTTAATATGAGCATATATTTACTTTTAACATCCTCTGCTTTCTCAAGCAGTTATAATTTTGAAATTCAGTTTTAGTGACAGATAGATGCATTTATTATTTTAAATAATCAAATGTATTATAAAAATAATCAAAATCACTTATTATCTAAAAATAATAGAAAACCATTGTAATATATTGAAAAATAATTTTTAGGATCTTTCTTTTTCCAAAGTTATGTTAAAGATAAAATGACTATATACAATGAGGTCTAAAATATATAACATTTATTAAATTTATATCTACAGTAGGTTTTAAAAAGTTGCCATACAGTTCTGGAAAACTAAAAAGCTATGCACATATACAGGACTGTATTCATGCCTAGAAAATACCTGGGAAAACCATAATCTCATGCCTCTAGTTGACCCTAAGGTCCTGGCCAAGTAGAGAGTGAAGTTTTTAAGGCAGAATTGAAACCACTGGGGTATTAAACGGCTCAGCACATAAGCAGTGCTTGTCAGCCAAAAGTGGGAGAATTACTTGTTCAAAGCAATTAGGAAGATAAATTTTATTGTCAAATATTAGGTGACTGCCAAAATGCCTGAGCAGAGCTTACAGTGTTTACACAGCAAGGAATATAAATATATAATTAGTAAAGAAAATTACTAACAAATAAAAAAGCAGTAGCAATAAAACCACCAACAATAATGAATATCAACAAAATCAAACTATGCGTAGAAGGGGATTTGATTTCCAAACTTGGTTTATATTATTTAAAGTCATTTTCCATTGACAGAAAAAAATTACACATGCAAAAAAAAAAACATAAAAGCATGGTCTACATGGCAGGGAGAGCATGGTCAATAGAGACTTTTCTTTAGAAAAATCAGGTGCTAGTTTTAGTGGATAAATCTGTTTATCCACTAAAAGACAAACATGTGTAAAAAGTGTAAAAAGTTTTTTTACACTTTTTTTACACTTTTACACTTTTACACTTTTTTTTCTCCTCCCTGTGTCCATGTGTTCTCATTATTCAACTCCCACTTATGAGTGAGAAAATGTGGTGTTTGGTTTTCTGTTCCTGTGTTAGTTTGCTGAGAATGATGATTTCCAGCTTCATCCATTCCCTGCAAAGGACATGAACTCATCATGTTTTATGGCCTCATAGTATTCCATGGTATATATGTGCCACATTTTCATTATCCAGTCTATCATTGATAGTCATTTGGGTTTGTTCCACATCTTTGCTATTGTGAACAGTGCTGCAATAAACATGTGTGTGCATGTATCTTTATAGCAGAATGATTTATAATCCTTTGGGTATATACCCAGTAATGGGATTGGTGGGTCAATCCCATTACCCATGTGTAAAAAGTTAAAGTGTGAGGACATGTATTGACAAATATAGGATATCAATAAAAAGAAAGAAATTATAAAAACAAAATAGAAATTGTAGAGTTGAAAAGGATAATAACTAAGATGAAATTTTCACTAGAGGAGTTCAACAACCGATTTAAGTGGCCAAAGGAAAAAAATCAACATAATTTAACATAAATCAAATGAGATTATCTTATCTGAGAGCCAGAAAGACAACAGAATGATGAAAATGAACAAGTCCTCAGAGGACCTGTGGAACTTTGTTAATTGTACCAATATATTAACACATGTAATTTATTCCAAGATGAAGAGGAGATGATAGAACAGAGGGAATGTTTGAAAAAATTGTGGCTGATAATTCCCAAATTTGATAAAATATCAATTTATACATCCAAGATCAGCTAAGTTCAAGTAAGATAATCTCAAAGACAACCACACGTATACACATACTAAAGCTTTCAAATGATAAAGACAGAGAGAGAATCTTGAATGGAGAAAGAAAAAGTGACTTATCATGTACATGGGATTCTTAATAAGTTAATAGCTGACTTTCTGTTAGATATTACTGAGTGCAGAGGGAAATGGAATAATATATTTAAAGTGCTAAAAGAGAAAAATGTCAATCAAGAATTCTACATACAGCTAAACTCTCTTTAAAAATGTAGAAATTAAGATATTCTCAGATAAACAAAAATTGAAGAACTTGTCTCTAGGGAACCTACAAAACAATCCTAAAAGGAGTCATTCAGTCTGAATGAAAGAACATTAAAAAGTAACCTGAATCAATATAACAGTAACTTGAATCAATATAAAGTAATAAAGGGTACCAGAAAAGGTACCTATAAGTAAATATACTTATATTTTTATATAGTATTTATATCTGGTATATATAAATACATAATATATAGTTAGTATAAATAAATTTTTGTTTGTAAAACTTTTCTTATATCTTATTTAAAATCCACCTGTGTATATAACCAATTGTAACATTATGGTGGTGAATTTATATAATAATGCAGCCTGCATAATAATAATAGCACAAGTAGGGTATTGTTAAGCACAATTAGGGTATTGTTAGGAAGCTTATACTGGAGCAAAGTTTTCATATATATTGGAGCAAAGTTTTCATATATTATTTAAATATTAATTAATATTAAAATTAATATTTCCTATATTATTGAAATTTTAATATCAATTCAGATGATGTTAATTCAAAGTATATTGTATTAATTTCATTATAATTACCAAAGAAACCACTGACAAAAATTTTAAAAGTAAATATTAAAGAAAAAATATTAATTAAAATGGCCCTTGAAACACTAAAGATATCTATTTAGTACAAAAATATGGTAATTAAGAAAAGAGAGCAACAATGAATAAGACATAGACATAGAGAAAATGAATAGCAAAATAGCAAATGCAATTCCTACCTTAGTAATTTTATTCATTTGAATGGATTTCTAGAAAGGTACAAACTACCAAAACTCACTCAGTAAGGAATAGAAAATCTGAATTTATTCATAAGAAAACAGAGATTTAATTCATAATCAACAACCACTCTCAAAAAAGTTACTGGGTAGATGGCTTTATTGGTAGATTCTACCACATGTTTGAAAAATTTATACCAATACTTCAAAGACTTTTTAAAAATTAGAAGAGGAGGGAACACTTCAAACTCATTTATGGGTCAAGTAACTCTGATACTCAAACCAGAGAGTCATCACACAAAAAGAAAACAAAAAACAATTTTCCTTATAAGTATGATGCAAAAAATCCCAATTATATACCAGCAAACTGAATACAACAACTAACAAAGAGGATTGAACACCAAGACCAAGTGGAATTCACCCCAGGAAGGCAAGGTTGGTTTAATGTTCAAAAATCAGACAACAAGTACATGATAATCTTAATAGAATGTCATGTGACAAATGCAATTTCATTTCATGATAGAAACACTCAGCCAACTAGAAATAGAGGGCAGCTCTCCCAACCTAAGCAAAGCATAAGAAAAAAGCCCACTTAATATCATATTAGCTGAATGACAGAATGTTTTTCCCTTAAGATAAAAAAGCAGACACATATGTCTGTTCTTACCTCTTGTGTTCAGTACTGTACTGGAGGGTCTAGATAAACAATTAAGCAAGAAAAAAACAAGAAAAATCATGTTGGAAAAGAGTAAATAAAGCAATCTATACTTAGAAAACCTAGATTTAGTACATAGAAAATCTAAAGGCTCTACTACAATTTGTTGGAATTAATAAGTGATTTTTAGTAAGGGTGCAGGATAAAACATCAATATAAAAAGATCAACTGTGTTTTTATACACCAGCAAAAAGAATTTTTAAAATTAAATTAATAAAAAAGTTAATTTACATTTGCCACAAAAAGAACACAATACATAGAAATAACAAAAGAAATATCAGATTTGTACACTAGAAACAACAAAAACTATGTTGACAGAAATTAAAGGAGATGAATAAATGGAAAGACACTTGATATTCACAGATGGAATATTTAATATTTTTAAGATAGGAATATTCTCCAAATCGATATACAGATTCAACACAATCTTTATCAAAGTCTCAGATTTCTTCTTTCAGAAATGGACAAACTGACTTTAAAATTTATGTTGAAATACAAGGAACCCAAAAGAGGCAAAAACAATTATGAAAAAGGAAAACAAAGGAGGAAATACACTCTTATTTCAAGTCTATCTACAAAGCTACAGTAATCAGACATCATGGTGCTAGCATGAGGATAGCTATATAAATCAATAGATTAAAAGTTAATAACTTGTATTTATAATGATAAAATAAATTCATTTTTTAAAAAGGGCAGAGGAAATTCAGTTGGGGAAATAAAAATCTTTAAAAAAAATAGTGATGGGACAATGGAATATCAATGTGCAAATGAAAAATAGGACCTTTCCCCAAAACCATTTAAAATAATTAAATGAAAATAAGTCATAGATCTACAGGTAAGAGATAAAACACAAAAATTCCTGTTAGAAAAAAGCTCAGGAGTAAATTTTTATGACTTTTAGTAAGTCAATTATTTCTTAAATATTATGTCAAAACCACCAAGAGAAAAATAGATTGGATTTCTTTAAAATTTAAACTTTTTTATTTTTTGCCTCAGAAGTTGCCATCAGTACAGTAAAAAACGAGCCCCAGAATTGGAGGAAATATTGGCAAATTATATATCTGATTAGATTCTTGTATCAATTTGACAAAAGATCTAATTGTACATTCCAGCAAGGAAGATACATAAATGGTCAAAAGACACATAAAAAGGATAGTCAACATAATAATCATTACAGAAAGGCAAAAAAAAATCATAATGATATACCCATAAAACCCACTAAAATGAGTATAACTTTAAAAAAATTGTCAGATGAGGCTGGGCATGGGTGTTCATGTTTGTAATCTCAGCACTTTGGAAGGCTGAGGCAGGAGGATTGCATGAGGCCAGGAGTTCGATACCAGCCTGGGTAACATGATAAGACTCCGATCTCTATAAAAAAAAAATCTTAAAAATTAGCCAGGTGTGGTGATGCATGCTTTTTGTCTCAGCTACTTGGGAAGCCGAGGTGGAAGAATCACATTAGCCCAGGAGTTTGAGGTGGCAGTAAGCTATGATTGACCACGGCACTCCAGCTTGAGTGACAGAGTGAAACTCTGTCTTTAATATGACAATTTAAAAAAATTGTCAGATTATAAAAAGTGTTTTCAAGAATATAGGGGAATCAGAATAATCAAAAAGCTGGTGGGATTGCAAAATTCTACAGCTCCTGTGAAAAACAATTTTATATTTTCTTAAAATATTATATAGTTACCATAGACCTAGCAATTATACTTCCCATAAGACATTTTTATGAATATATATAGCAGCATATTCATAATAACAAAAAAATGGAAACTGCAAATGTAGTACATCATCTGATGAGTAGACAAAAAAAAATGTAGCATTTCCATGCAGCAGAATATATTTGGCAATAAAAAGGAATGAAGTGTTATGTTATAAAATACATGAGTCTTGAAAACATTAGGTAAAGTAAAGGAAGCCAGTCAAGGTAGAACACATGTTGTATGTATATATACAGTATCCAGAATAGGCCAACCAATACAGAAAGTAGATTAGTGGTTGCCAGAAGCTTGGGGAGGGACAATGAAGAGTGACTGCTAATGAGTATAGGGTCCCTTTATGAAACTATAGAAAATCTTCTACAATTAGTTAGTGATTATATTTGCATAGTTCTGCAGGCATGCTAAAAATGACTGAACCACATGTATGTGTATATATATATATTATATATATATTATATATATAATATATATATATTATATATATATATTATATATATAATATATATATATAATATATATATATATGAAACCTCAATACTTATTGGTAAAGTTTCCAATTCCTTTATATTGATAGACTTTACAAAGTAACATGCAAACATTTTTACTGAAGTATTGTCAAAGGCTAGTGAATAAATTTTACCCAAGAAGTCTCAGGGTAAATTCTGAAGTTCAATTTCCTCTCACTGAACTTTGCAATTTATATCATGCTACATTTACATGTGATGAAAAGTGGTGCTAATTTTGCTTCTCCATCATACATTTGCATTTATTTTTCTATAGAAAAGGTGTTTTTTTTTAAACTATTTGAATTACTTAACTTTCTTTCTGATCTACTCTTCCAAGCTATCTTTAGGTACTACTGATAAATTTGCTTGCTCTGGGGCACAGAATACTTTATACATTTGGAATAGTCATATCTCTCTGTTTGATATAGACAAATCCATGAGCAGTCCTCTGCCAGGTAATTTGCTTCAAAGTAAAATTGTTGTTACGTGGTGTGAAACATATTATCTTAACCCTAGTTTTCATGATAGTTTGGTGTCATGTTAGAATCTAATAGTCTTAGCCATTAGCATTTTCTTTTGACCGAAGGAGAAAAAAATCCTAATGGTGTATAAATTAGGAATTTATATACGCCAAATAGTGGTGTGCCACCATCACACTCCTTGGGAGTTACCAAATAACAGCTTCACATAGATTCTATTATCTCATGTTACGCCATTTGGAAATATTTTAATGGTTGGCAACCTCCAGGTAAAGCAATACGATATTTTTTTAATGGTTGGCAACCTCCAGGTAAAGCAACACAATCTTTTTTTCTTTTTCCTGGATATCTTGTATTTCAATAGACCTCAAGTTAGGATGTAATTTTCATTAGCACGAAGACTGTACTTCTACTTTCAAAATCTCAGGTTATACCTCATACAAGTAGATATATTCCTGGGCAGGAATTCTATGCATTTACTGACTTTTAGAATTACTCCTTTCAAAGGATTCCAAAAATACCCCCCAAGAAATGATTTTGTAGTACATTGAATTATTTGTCCCAATTGTTTAAAAACCTTTCTGTGTTCAAGCCCTTTTCCGTGTGATGTTGCAGCTCCTACCACAATGGGAAGAGTGTAATTTTCTGTCCCTTGACATTGAGACCCAAGTTGCCTTGGTCAATGTAGTGCTAACAGATGTCATACAAATCAGGCTCTTAATGTCTTTATGGAGTATATATTCTCTCTTCTGCTTTTGCTTTCATTATGAGAAGATGTCCTGACTAATCCACTTGTTCAAGTAAAATGAGAGACGTTGAGAGCAAATCAGTACCCAATCTGTGGTTTGTAGTCTGGCCTACCTGGGTGCAGTCTGAATCAGCATGACTTTCAACTGTGTGTTCAGTGCTATTGTAGTGTCATTGCTGTTATGCCCGCTTAGTTACCAGAGCTAAGGAATATATGAATGTTTACTAACTTTCTTACATATTAACTCTGACTTATATATTATGTAAAATATAATCCCAGCACATTGAGAGGCCAAGGCTGGCAGATCATCTGAGGTCAGGAGTTCGAGACCAGCCTGGCCAACATGGCTAAATCCTGTCTCTACTAAAAATACAAAAATTAGCTGGGTGTGGTGGCACATGCCTGTAATCTCAGCTACTTGGGAGGCTGAGGCTGGAGAATTGCTTGACTCTGGGAGACAAAGGTTGCAGTGAGCTGAGATCATGCCATTGCACTCCAGCCTGGGCAACAGAGCAAGACTCCATGTAAATAAATAAAATAAAATAAAATAAAATAAAATAAAATAAAATAATTATACACATATGGTATAATATATATATAAAACTAAAAGTTTACACTGATGCCTGTCATTCCAATGCAGTTCTTTATAGTTCATTTTAGCCTTCACCTTTTCCTATTTATAATTTTTTTCTAGCAGTGAGAAACCTGACTCTCATTATCTATATTATCTTTACTTATTTGTTGAATTCTGGTATATACATAATTTCAGAATAAGGATCCTATACTGCTGTGAGAAAACTTCCTTACAATATTACAGCACCTGAATGATCATTTTGTTTCAAGCCTGACAATATTCACTCAAGATACAATAATTCCCTCTTATTCATGGGGGATACATTCTAAGACCTCCAGTGTATGCCCAAACCTACAGATAATACCAATACTTACACAGTACATTTTTTCCCTGTGCAAACTATACGGCCACATGAAAACTTCCCCTTCATCCTTTGAAGGTTTGCTAAACATCAACTGACAAAATGCAGATTAACAGGAAAAAGACATATACATTTTATTTTAATGTTCACAGCACAGAAGTACACAGGAGAACAATTACCCAACTTCCCAGTGGAATATAGATGTTTATGTACCCTTCTTCATGGCAGAAGGGGAAATGGGGAAAATGTGGCAATTTGAGAAACACAAAATGAATTTTAGGAGGAAATAAGTGGACTTGGAGAACACACAATGGCCTGGGACAAGGTCTGCTGGGCCCACAGAGCAGAAAATTGTTTGTGACAAAAGTCTGTCCAGTGAGTACTGGATTTTGTCAAATGATTGTGCTGCATCTATTGAGATATTCTTAAGTATTTTTTAGATTGTTAAAATGATGAATTATACTGATTGATTATTTAATGTTAGGCCAACCTTGCATTGCTGACTCTGATATATTGTCTTTATTATTCATATTGTATTCAACTTGCTAAAGTATTGTTTAGGGCTTTTTTAAAAATTTCTGTTCATGAGACATACGGTCTTTTTTTTCTTTTCTTGTAATATCTATATCGTTTTGGTAGTACATTAATTCTAGTCCCATAAGAATTGGGAAGTATTTTCTGTATTTTTATTTTCTGGAACAATTTTTGTAGCATTGGTATGGTTTTTTGTTTGAATGTCTGATAGAAATCACTAGTGAAGCCATTTGTTTCTCAAGTTTTCTCTCTGTAATGGCTTTTAAATGCAAGGTCATTTTTTAAAAAGAGATATGAGGGTGTTCAGTATACCTATTTCTCCATGAGTAACCTTTAGTAGTTGGTATCTTTCAATAAGTTGGTCGATTTTGTTTAAGTTACTAAATTTATTGTTCCAATAATATCTCCCTATTGTTCATAATGTCTCCCTATTAAGCTTTTAGTGCCACTGGAAAATAAATTGATAATTTGTGTTTCTTTTTCCAGCCAATCTAAATAAAGGATTAACAATTTTATTAATTTTCTGTAATGGGTTTCATTGATTTTCTCTATTATTTTTTGAGTTCTATTTTACTGGTTTATTTTCAAATATTTATTATTTCAACTCTCCTTACGTTGAGTCTTATTTTTATTTTAATAGTTTCTTTTTGAATTTTTATTTATTTATTTTCTTTAAACAAGAGTATTGCTCTGTTGGCCAGGTTGGAGTGTTGTCGTGTGATAATGGTGTGCTGCAGCCTCAACCTTCCAGGTTCAAGTGATCCTCCTGAGGTAGATTGGACAGAGTGGTCATACAGCCTTACTTAAAGGGGAAAACACATGCCAAATGGATGGATAAAACAAACTGCCCAATAACGTACAAACAGCATCATGGACTCATGGTTAGAATGTTCTGCAGCAAAGAAGTAGAAGAGCAGAAGGAAAAATTCCCAAATTTTTGCAAGTGCAGAAACCTACGATTAGTGTCCTTGGGCTGACCTGTGCTCATTATAATAGTAAAAACACACCCACGGTGGAGATTTTAGATGCTAATGAGACATGTGATGTATATACTAGCACGTACAGCCACTCTGCATGCAGGTTTAAGAAACCACCAATAACATGCTGAATAGCAACACCCTTTCCCATCCCTTTGTGAATCATCATGTAAAATTCCCATAAAGGGATGTTCTTCAGTGCCATATGGTGCTGTCTCACCAGTTGCACCTGCTTTGAGCAGCCTGCTCTGATCAGCTCTCAGAGTGCACTTCCACTTTGCAATAAACGTCTTTAATGACTTTCACTTTGGACACACTCTCAAATTATTTTGTGCAGCCAAATCAAGAACCTGAACTGGCCCACTTGCAACACCACTACCTCAGCCTCCTGAGCGGATGGGAACACAGGCATACACCATCACATCTGGCTAATTTAATTTTTTTTTTTTTTTTTTTTTTTTGTAGAGACAGGGTTTCAACATGTTGCCCAGGCTGATCTCTAATACTTGGGCTCAAGTGATCACCTGCCTCAGCCTCTGAAAGTGAGCCACCATGACTGGCCTAATTTTTTTAATTGACATAAAATTGTATATGTTTATCATGTATAACATGTTGTTTTGAAATATATATATATATACACATTGTGGAATGACTAAATCAAGCTTATTAACATATGTATTACCTCAAAAAGTTGTCATTTTTTTGTGGTAAGGACACTTAAAATATAGTCTCTTAAACATATTTCAAGATCACAGTATATCATTATTTACTACAGTCACCATGTTGTACAGTAGAACTTATTCCTCCTATCTAAATGAAGTTTTGTAACCTTCTACCAATATCTTCACAGCCCCATATCACACCATTGCCCCAGTCCCTGGTAACCACCATTCTATTCTCTGCTTCTGTAAGATCAACATTTTTAGATTCTACTTATGGGTGAGATCATGCAGTATTTGTCTTTTTGTGCCTAGTTTATTTCGCTTGATATAATGTCCTCCAGGTTTATCAATGTTGTTTTAAATGACAAAATTTTACTCTTTTTTGATAGCTGAATAGTATTCCATTATGTATAGATACCACATTTTCTTTATTCTTTAATCGACTGATGGACACTTAAGTAGATTTCATGTCCTAATATTGTGAATAATGCTGAAATAAGTATGAGAGTACAGATATCTCTTTAACATACTCATTTTATTTCCTTTGGATATACATACCCAGTGGTGGGATTGCTGGAATTGCTGGATAATAGAAAAAGTCCATTTTTAATTTTTTGAGAAGCCTCCTTTCCATTTTCCATAATAGCTATACTAATTTACATTCCCACCAACGGTGTGCAAAGGTTCTCTTTTCTCCACAACCTCACCAACATTTACTTTTTTCTTTTTGATAATGGCCATTTTAATAGGTGTGAGGTCCTTTCTCAATGTGGTTTTAATTTGCATTTCTCTGGTGATTAGTGATGTTAAGCATCTTTTCATATACTTCTTGGCCATTTGTATGTCTTCTTTTGAAAAATGTCTATTCAGGTCTTTGCTCATTTTGAAAATCAAGTTGTGGCCTGGAGCAGTGGCTCGTGCCTGTAATCCCAGCACTTTGGGAGGCTGAGGCGGGCGGATCACAAGGTCAGGAGATTGAGACCATCCTGGCTAACGCGAGGAAACCCTGTCTCTACTAAAAATACAAAAACTTAGCGGGGCGTGGTGGTGGGCGCCTGTAGTCCCAGCTGCTCGGGAGGCTGAGGCAGGAGAATGGCGTGAACCCGGGAGGCAGAGTTTGCAGTGAGCCAAGATAGCGCCACTGCACTCCAGTCTGAGCGACAGAGCGAGACTTTGTCTCACAAAAAACAAACAAACAAAAACAAGTTGTGTTCTTGCTATTGAATTGTTTTAGTTCCTTATATATTTTGAATGTTAACTCATTATACAATATATGGTTTACAAATATTTTCTCTCATTTTGCAAGTTGTCTTTTCACTGATGACTGTTTCTTTTGCTGAACAGAAGCTTTATAGTTTGGTGTAATCCCATTTATCTATTTTGGCTATTGTGGCCTGTGCTTTCGGGGTCATATCCAAAAATATTATCGTTCAGGCCAATACCACGGAACTTTCCCCTTGTATTTTCTACCAGTATTTTTACAGCTTCAGGACTTACATTAAAGTTTTTAATCCATTTTGAGTTTATTTTTGTATGGTCCAATTTCATTCTCTGCATGTTGGTATTCAGTTTTCCTAAAGCCATTTATTGAAGAGATTCTTCTTTCCCCATTTTGTGTTCTTGACTACTTTGTCCAAAATCAGTTGGCTGTAAATGCACGGATTTGTTTCTGTGTTTTCTATTCTATTCTATTGTTCTATATGTTGGTTTAATGCCAATATTATGCTGTTTTGGTTACTATAGCTTTGTAGCATATTTTGATGCCTAGTAATGTGATGCCCCCACCTTTTTGTTATACATTGCTTTGGCTATTTGTGAGCTTTTTGGTTACATATGAGTTTCAGGATTGTTTTTCTATTTCTTTGAAAAAAATGACGTTGATATTTTGATAGGGATTATATTTTTGTAGCTATTTTAAATCAAATTATTTTCTTGATTGAATTTTCAGATAGTTTGCTATTTGTTTATAGAAACGCTGTTGATTTGGGGATGTTGACTTTGTATTTGGCAACTTTTTAAATTCATTTATTACTTCTAACAGTTTTTTAATGCAGTCTTTAGGGTCTTCTTTATAGAAGAACATGCCATCTGCAAACAGGTACAATTTAACTTCTTCCTTTTCAATTTGAATGCTTTTTATCTTTTTCCTTGCCTAATTACTCTGGCTAGGACTTTCAGGACTTATTTTTCTAGTTTCTTAAGGTGAAAACAAAGGTTATTTATTTGAGAGGTCTTGCTTTTGCCACTGTAAGTATTTATTGTTATAAATACACCCTAATAATACTTTACTGGCATACCAAAACGAATGTGTTGTATTTTAATTTTCATTAAGCTAAAATGCATTTCAGTTTCTCTGTTGATATTGTCTTTGACTTATGAGTTTTTAGAAGAATGGTTTTTTTAAATTTTGATATACTTTTGTTTTTTCTTTTTGTTATTGATAGTCTATTATATTAATAATTTCACTGTGGTCAGAGAACATTCTTTGTATTGTGAATTATTTTATGACCCAGAATATGGTCTGTCATGGTAAATTTTTTGTGCGCTAGTAAGGAATCTGTATTCTACTGTCTTTGGGGATAATATTCCAAAAAGTTTATTTAGATCAACTTGGTGGGTACTGTTCCTCACATCTTTTATATTTGTACTGATTTTCTGCCTACTTTTCCCATCAATTATTGAGAAAGAGGTATTAAAATCCTGGCCTGTATTTATTTGTTTGTTCATTTCTTGTTGAAGTTCTATCAGTGTTTCTTTACATAATTTGAAGCTCCAGAAAGCATTTAGGATTGGCATGTTATCTTTTTGAATTGACCTTTTTATTAATTCCATGTTACCTTATTTTTGGTTCTTAGTAATACTCTGTTTTGAAATCTACTTTGTTGTTAATGTAGTCACCATTGTTTTCTTTTTATTAGTGTTAGTACAGTATGTTTTTTTATAATACTCTTTTAACGTATTTGTTACTTTATATTTGTAATACATTTTTGTAGACAGCATGTAGTTGAGTTTTGCTATTTTTATTCAATATAACCTCCTCTTTAATTTGTACATAGACACTATTTATATTTAGTGTGATTTATCCAAATAATTAGGTATAAATATTGCTTTTTAAAAAATATTTGTCTCTATAGGTTTTTGGGTTTTTTTCCATTCTTCCTGTTCTCCTTTTAGATTAAATATTTTAGGGTCTCATTTTTCTCTCATTGACTTATTGTCATTTTCTCTCTCTCTTTTTATTTTACCTGACGTTTTCTGATTTATAGTTATCTATCACAGTCTAACGATAAGTGACACTGTACTAACATTAGGTAAGAACCTTAAAATAGTACACTAAAATTTTTCCTCTCCTGAATGTTTTACTTTCATGTTAAAAGTTCCACACTATTTACATCTTTTTGTTTATAAACAGCGAATAATATTTTAAAGATATTTAAATAAAAATATATTTACATAAAAATATTTAAATAAAAATATTTAAATAAAAAAATAAAATATTTAAATAAAAATATTTTATATTTACATAAAAATATTTTTAAAAATTACATAAAAATATTTAAATATAGATATTTAAATAAAACTATAAACTCTTATATTTTTACTGATGGGCTACCATTTCTCATGTTCTTCTTTCCTTTGGGTAGATCCATATTTGATTTGGTGTCAATTTCCTTCCTCTAGGATGATTGCCCTTAATATTCCTTGTAGTGTAGGTGTGCTGATAATAAATTTGTTAAGCTGTTATACATCTAATAATTACAACCTTATTTTACATTTATTTTTGAAAGGTATTTTTACTAGACATTGAATTCTTGGTTTGTAGATTCTTTTATTTCAGTATTTTTAAAATGTTGTTCTACTGACTTTTTATATCTTTGTCTGGTAAGAACTCTGCTATCATTTATCTGCTATTTATTCATCTGTAGATCATGTGTCTTTTGTTTTCCCAGAAACTTTAGTAATTTTTTTTTTCACTGACTTTTGCTGTCTAATTAGAATGTGTCTTTAATTAGTTTTCTTTGTATTTCTGCACTTGAGCTTTCTTGTATTATTCGGATCTGTGGATTTACAGCTTTCATGAAATTTGGGAAAAAATGCATATTATTTTGTTAAATATTTGTTCTGCAACTCTTTCTCATATCTCTTTCACATTAAGTATATTAAGCTGCTTAAAGTTACTGCACAGCTTTCTGAGGCCTTTTAACTCTTTGAGTTTTATTTTATATAGTTTCTATAGTTATATCTTCATGTACACTATTCATTTTTTGGCAACATCTACTCTGTCTTTATTTCAGTCATTATATTTACCATCTCATATATTGTAGTTATTACAACTTATATCTAGAATTTATATTTGCATTTTTTTTACCTTTCAGGACTCTTTAAATTTTTGATCCTTTGGAGTACAATTATACTTACTATTTCAATATTCTTGTCTGCTAATTCTAACATTTCTATCAGTTCTTATTAGTTTTCAATTAATTGAGCTTTTTTTCTTCATTTTGGGTCACATTGTCCTACTTTCCTTGCATGTCATATTGAATGTCCTTCATTGTGAATTTTACCATGTTGGGTGCTAGATATTTTTGTATGCCTATACATTTTCTTAAGTTTTTCTGAGACTCATTTATGTTACTTAAAAGCAGTTTCATCCTGTCACATCTTGTTTTTACCTATTGTTCAATGGGACCAGAGCACTACTCAGTCTAAGGTTCGTTATTTCCTAACACTGAGACAATATCCTCTTTGTAATCTACCTAATGCCTTGTGGCTTGTGAGGTTTTGCGGTCTGAATAATTAGAACATCACAATTCCCAGACATGTATGTGTGCTGGCTACTGTTTCCTCCTCAGGATTCTGGAGTTCTTTCTGTGTGCAGTTTCCTCTTCTCTGATAGTCGGTCCTATGATCCCTACCTTCTCCTTTGCCTCCCTGGAATCTCAACTCTGCACCTTCAACTCAATAAATTTTCCAAACTTGAGCCATTGCCTAAAAACTCTCTCAAGACAGTAAGCTAGGATAATCATATGGCTCACTTTGTTTGTTTATCATTTCCTAGGGAATGTTGCCTGATGTCTGTTCATACCCAATGTCTAGTGTCTATTGTTATGTAATATATGTGTTCTTTCTGTTTGTTTGTTTTTAAGGGAGAGGTCCTTATTTGTTTTTTTTTCCAGTTGAAAGGATAAGTCCATTTATCTATTTTTTAAAGCAGCAAATAAAACTGGAGAACAAGATCTTACATAAATGCTGACAGACCCAGGCCTGTTGGGA
This sequence comes from Homo sapiens, assembly GCF_000001405.40. NCBI lineage: Eukaryota > Metazoa > Chordata > Mammalia > Primates > Hominidae > Homo > Homo sapiens. The sequence goes on from NC_000007.14 coordinate 118,845,437, forward strand.
AAAGCATTAACAATGAAAAATATCCTAAGACAGAGCTAGGTTAGAATCTAAGATTTATATCCTGGACAAGTTATTTAATCTCATATAGACTCAATTTTCTCATCACATGTAAAGTGTCTAGCAGGGTAGTATTAACAGTGGCTTAACAAATTACAAGTGATGTATCCTTCATTGTTTTGTATAATGTCACCTTTGATAAACAATTGAATAAGCATATTCTTTTAATTATAGAAACTAAGTCCCTTAATTCTGTAGCCTAATCCACTGTACCTCTTCAGAAATTGTAAGAAACAATAGCTTTATATGTGTCTCTTGAGTATATGTGTTTGATAGATTTATTTTCCAATTTATATACCTTTGACAGAAATGTTTATATTCTCTCTTGAAGATTTGCCCATTAAAAGCCCCATTTCCTACTCTCCTTAAATTTACTCTTCTAAAGTCATATAAGATTTTGTATCTTAAGGCAGGGCAGATTGTCCAGTGAACTTGCCCTAGCCATTCATGCCTCAGAGGTTTTAGTCTGTCTGTTGAGCAACTACAGAACTTCTCCTCCTCCCCCGCCTCATAAATTATGCTTCCTTCGTAACCCTGACCAAGATCACTTTTCCCATGAAACACTTGATTATCATGTTCAAACTTTCTTTAAATTCTTTGCTTCTCTCACACAGTCAGTACGACACATTCTAGCATTTATATCTACATATTTGTTCACTCATGGCTCTTTTCTTTAGGATATAGGACCCTGCATAGATAAAAATGAGAGTGATCTGTTCAATTATCATGAGTCCAGATAGTTGGGAAAAGGTGAAGAGATTGTTTTTTGGTCAAAGACCCCAAGGAAATGGGCTAGGCAATTTCTGTGCCAAGGCTGAAGGCAGCTAGAACATCCTAAGCCTGTCTGCTTAGATCTAACTTGTCTTGCCAACTCCTCTCATACCTATTTAGCCTCCCTCATTTCATTAATATTTACCATCCTGCAAAAATCCAGTATCCAACAACCTCTCTATACCTAATAGAGATAGTGAGCTTTGCCACCGTGGTCAAAGCTCAATCATCTCTTGGTTGGATGGTGACGATATCCAAACAGCTGGTCCTAGCCCTGCCTTTGTTTTTGTTTCAACATAGAGTGCAGGAAAATCTCACTTAAAGTAAGGCCAACCTTGTTAGTTGTCTGCTCAGGGATCACCTATGGCTTCTCATCTCACTCTGAGTAGATCAGAACAGTGTCTGCTGGATTGTGAGAACTCAATAAATATGTGTTGAATGATTAAATGGTGTAATTGAATATGCAGTGGACAGCTTTTGTACTCTCCCAGATTGGGGGACTCTAAGTTTCTAGCTAATTCCACTTAATTCCTCTCAGGCATGTGTGGGTAGCTTTTCCTTTCTTACAGCCTCATTTATGGATTTCCATAGCCTTCCTTTAGTCTTCAAGAGCTAAAAATTCCCAGGGTTGTCAAATTGGAGGTTGTCTGAGACCAGTCAGAGCAGGTACCAATGAACTTCAAGGCCACAGAGCATCACTCCCATCAGAAAGTCACAGGATACTTGTTAGTATGTTGCCATTGTCAGAGGAAGAGCTTTGGTGAATCACAATTGGAAGTTCAGATGATACATGGCATAGATAATAAATGATATTCTTAAAGGAAGGCTAGATGGCCTGTTGGTCCTAACTGGGTTTGCACACAGTTCTTGGTGGCTAGCAACAGAATGTGCTCACTGGAGTAAGGGCTGGAAATAGTGAATGCTATCTCAATTTCCTACCACACCACATGGTACTTTCAGGTCTGGTTTCCTCATCTCAGCCCTCAAAAATTGCACCCTCTCTGCTTTCCTTCTCACTTACCCTAGAAAGTCTATTCTATTCTTACAAATAGGAAGACTTGCTTTTACTCATCAAATGTTTTACTCTCTCTTTGTCCATACATTTGAGATCCTTTCTTTTATATCAGAGAATAAAACTTTTAAAAGGTGAACACCAAGGGTTGACTCCTCTTTTCTATTTTCTGTTGGGTTATCTTTTCCATGGAATTCTAGAAAATTTAACAAGCAGATGAATGGCCTAGGGATTAGAGAAAATTAATGGGTTTTTTTTTCATGTTTTTTTCCTTGCAAGGAACAATTTATTTTCTAATAATTCTCTGACAATGTTTCTAAAAGTGGCGTTCAGATCACTTGAATAAGAATCATCTGTGGTCTGGAGATCCTGCTGCAGACATTTTGAATTAAAATTTCTGAGAATGAGCTCTGAAATTCTAATTTAAAGAAGAAGGAAAAAGAGAAGAAAGGAAAAAGACTGTGATCATTTATGTAACATCATTTTTCCTTATATGAAGGCTTCCTTCTTGAAGCTTCTCATATCTGAGAGTTAGCTCATCCTTCCATCCCAAAACAACTTTTTCATTTAGTTTCTGTTATTCACTTCTCTCACTTTTTAATTCTCCTATTAAATAGCCTTGCCTTCTAGATTCCACTACTGGCTCCTCTTCTACTAATCATTAATGGTGGAACACCTGAAAGTATCCATTTTGAGACATTTTTTTCTTCTCCACATTCTCTCCCTAGACTACATCATACAACAACCTAGTGTTTTTTTTTTCCTCTGTGACTTCCTCTACACTGATTTTCATACTCATTTTGTAACCTTAAGAGGTTCCTTGCCTGAAGCACATGGGAAATCAACATGTAGAGACAACAGCAGAGAAAAGATTAATTGTAGGGATGCTGGATGAGGATACAGAGGAAACCTCAACTCCATCTCCTCAAGGAGTTTGGAGAGAGGGGTTTTAGGGGTTTTAGACTTGGTTGAAGAGTGGAAATCATTGATTGGTTGAAGAGTAGGGTGAAGTCATAGGATAGAAGGCTGAAGAAACTGTTTTCTCATGCTGATTTTTTCCTCTGTAAAGAGGTCTTCAGACTGGTTGGCATCAGCTGTTTCACTGGAATTTGGGGTCTGGAAAACATTTTAAGCAAAAAAAAAAAAAGAAAAGAAAAAAAGCCTGTTTTTTCAAATTTTATTTTTCTTACCATACATGTTGAACATGAAGCATTAATATCAGATCCAGCATTGAGTAGTACTAATGCCAGTTCATGCCAGTGTTCTATAAAATGGATATTTTATCTTGACCTTTAAAGGAAGTTGGTAAAAATGTAAACAAATCAGGAGTTTTCCTTCTTTTCATAGCTTTATAATTTACAAAATCCAAAACATGGAAGTGTGGCATAATGTGACTAGGAAAAGTTACATGAGAAAGATGGGTGGTTAGGGTCAGGGCAAGGCTTCTAATCCTATAGGATAGCTCTGCAAATAAATAGCCAAACATTTAAATCATTATACGCAAGGAAGAGAGGCTAACCAGGCTCTATCGTAGTGGTTAATATTCATATAGGGAAGCTAATCCTGGGCTGTGATGCAGTAGTTGGAATTTCAAGACAGAACTGATGATTGCGGTCATACATATAGGACAGGACACCAGCCTGTGGAAGTAAATAAGGCATCAGTGTCTCAGTCTAATGGTCTGGCATTCAGCAAGCCTCAAAGTATTTTTGTTTTGTTTTGTATTTTTCCTCTTCAGGGTAGAGGGTAGTAGGAAGAGGAAGGGTATGTCCGTTAAAATACTTATCTATGTCAAGCGCTTTGCTGGATATTTTACAAAGAATATCTTATTTAATATTTATAATCAAAGGTGTTATGAGCCTTCTTCCAGACATACCAAGCTTGAGAGAAAAAAATGTATTTTATACCTCACTTAGAGAATAAGACTTTCTTTACTTCTGTAAGGCTTAGTCAGGCAGGAACAAATTAACCCTGGGTGGACTTGAATCTGCAAGTTATGTTCTTAAGTACTTGCAGCTGAGTGGAGCCAGTGTAGCAACCAAGACACTAGGCACCCCATGATCTGGGCAAGGATCAAGCCAAAAGGATTCTGGTAGTTGCTGATTGCTTCATTGCCTCAATTTAGCTGCGGGCTTGCTTCTTTGCCTAATGGAAAGGTTATGGGCTTTGGGAGATATGACTTCATATTAAAAGCAATTTTGTTTTCCTGGATAATTTTTGATACTAGGAGAAAAATTGAATCCTTTATAGAATAGTAATGAGAATTAAATTATAACACAATAACTCATCAAAAGACTAACATTTATTAGGTTATTCCTAACTAGTCTCTTTTATTTGCCCTTCTGTGTTCCCACAAGGCCAAGCACAGAGTTTCTCAATCCCACATGCATATCAGAATCATATATGAAAGTAATTATAAAAATATGACAAAGTTATACTCCACAGGAAATCTAGCACAGAGCCCTGAAATCTATATAATATTGGAAGATTCCTAGAGGAGATGCAAATGCAAAAGTCAGGGTTGAAATTTCCTGGCCTAGTACAATACTGAGGGCTCCATAAATGAAACATTGATTAATTGATTATGTAGTAAAAAAGCAAAGAGACATGATGAAGAATTTTGCTAACATATAACTGGAGAGACTTGTGAAGCACATTGTGTCTTATGTTTGAAGAAAGAATCTGGTATTTTCTAACATCATTAACACTTGTTGTTAGCACCATTTTAGACCAGCTGCCAGGAATTTCAGCACAAAAGGATTTCTTTGTAGGCTTGGAAACTAATAATTTGAGGTAAAAACCAAGTATGTTTGCCATAACAAGGGAAGTGAAATTTCAGAAAGAAGTAGGGTTTTTTTATTGCTTTTTTTTTTTTTATCTAGATGCTATTGCTCTGATCTTAACAGCATGTGACCTTCTTCGTAACATTTGATGACCATGCTTCAAAAGAAATAATCTAAGAAGGTGTAAAATTACATTAAAGATAGTTTAAATTAAATACAACTTTCTGTTAATCTGATACAAATACAATGTTATGATATTATTTCTTGCAAAGTCATAAATTATCAGTTGTTGACATTATGTTGAGTACTATTTTGACAAAATCTCCCTAAGTTTTCATATTCAAACCAAGCATTTTTAGGATTAGTTTAGGGAAGAGGTAGTCTTAGGTGGGTGAGTGTGAGGCTTCTAGAACATCCTTTTAGGTAGATTTCCTTAGTGCCATGATCTGGGATTTTGACTTAGTGCCCTAACAAATAGGTGTGCCTGAATAAGTGTTAACAGATGATGAATTCAGTGAGCATAAAAGGTTCTGATTAATTATAATTGAGCTGGCCAGCTGCTGAGACAAAGAAATAGCCTTGGCCATGCGACACTGGCTTTTACAAGTTGTCATCATTTCCATGTCCGTCTCATAGCCACAGCTTACAGAATGCTGCTCAGGGGGCATTTCAGAGAGGAGCTACTGGGAATTTTAGCTTAATCTCCCACTAGATTGTCAGAGAGAGGATCAAGTCAGGACACCAAGCTTCTAGAGAATTAATGCGCCGTTCTAGGGTGAGGCAGCCTTGAGGGAGAAAGAAACAGCTCCAAAGTATCTTAGCATTGTCCTCAGAGTTTCACAAAATAATGTCTGCTGGACAAAGTAGGCCAAGGACTATTTTTATACAAGTGTCAGCTAAGAATGGTGTTTCACACGCACAGGCATGTTTATTGCAGCACTATTCACAATAGCAAAGACTTGGAACCAACCCAAATGCCAATCAATGATAGATTGGATAAAGAAAATGTGGCATATATACACCATGGAATACTATGCAGCCATAAAAAAGGATGAGTTCATGTCCTTTACAGGGACATGGATGAAGCTGAAAACCATTATTCTCAGCAAACTAATACAGAAACAGAAAACCAAACACCACATGTTCTCACTCATAAATGGGAATTGAACAATGAGAACATATGGGCACAGGGAGGGGAACATCACACATCAGGGCCTGTCAGTGGGTGAGTGGCTAGAGAAGGGACAGCATTAGGAGAAATACCTAATGTAGATGACAGGTTGATGGGTGCGGTAAACCACCATGGTGTGTGTATACCTATAACAAACCCATATGTTCTTCACATGTATTCCAGAACTTACGTATAATAATACAAAAACCAGTTAAGAGTATAGATCTTACATAAAATGTTCTTACCACCAATAAAAAAAGATGCAAGGAAACTTTTGGAGGTGATGGATATGTCTGTTACCTTGATTATGGTGATGGTTTCACAGGTGGATGCATATGTCCACCCTTCAAACTGTACATACTTAATATGCTTAGTTATTTGTATATCAATTATATCTTAATAACGCTGTTCAAAAATAAATTTGAAAATAAAATTTATTTTCTCCTCTTTTAAAAAGTAAAATGTTTAATAATTATCAAGAGCATTACAAATTTCTATAATTTATAAGAAAACTGCTTTTGTGCTGTTAATACAACCCCTTCTAAAACAAAACAAAACAAGAATGTTGTTTTAAATATTTAAAGAGTTCAAACAAACACAAAATTATTTGACAAACTGTTTGTAGCCTACGCATCCTAAAATATTCACTACTGGACCTTCACAGATAATGTCTGCCCACCTTGGTCTACCTAATCCTTGTGTGCCTTTTACTGAGTGGAGGAGGAAAAAAAATTCTTCAAGTAATCTGATGAACTTGAGATTCTCAAGTCTAGATGACAGCTGGGGTCATTTTTTTACTACTTTAAACAATGTTTTGGCCCTCAAGTTTGTATGTATGGGTTCACACATTTGTTTATTCATTTTCTAAATTTGTTATTCAAAAGCATTGGTAGTTGGAAATATATGCATCTATAACTCAAAGACAACATCAGAAATATTTGAACACAGGAGAAACTAAAGAAAAATAAGGGAGAGGGAAATAATGGCATTCCCCATTACCCTTATTATTGATGTATATATAAAAATACAATTTATATATGTTCATATGTTTTTATATATGCTCATTTTATAACAGGAGCATTTATATTTATATTTATATTTATATGATTTTATAACATCCTGGGAAATTGAATGATCTATATAAATGTTTCAAGAGATGTTAATTGTTCCCAATAATCTATATTGTCTACTGGGCATATTATGGAGGTTTGTTATTAAAATACTTACAAATAGATTTTTTTTTTGATTTGGGTTTTAGTTATACCCTGGGCTTTACATAACTAAAAGAAAAATATCTTCATGGATATCATCATGAAATGCTGATTTTTGTTTTCTTCCTTTCAAATTTTCCAGTTGCATGTGACCAAAATTTGCTATATCAAACTACATTTTTGTTATTTGAACTAACAAAAATTGAAATGGCCAGATGTAAGAGTTCCCTAAAAGAAACAACCTAGTAAATGGAAAAAAAATCCAGAGTCTGGAAAATCATGCTATTGTTAGAAATAAGAAATTTTCCAGAAGGGGATTTTAAATGGATTCTATTTCTTTTTATAAAATTTGAGCAGACATGAAACACGATTCATCAATTTTACTATCAAAACCTTTCATTGCAACAGAAAATTGTTCCAAACTGTTATGATAAAGCTTTTAATAATGAATAAAATATAATGCTAAAAATATTATGTCAACAGATACAATAAAATGGTATTCAAACCTATCATGAGTTTCAGTAAATCATCTTCACCAACTCATTTCCCTTGAATATGAGAGACGTGTGATGTCATTCTTCCCTGTGGATGTTTTGATGGCGTGTAATAGAAAATAAGGGTGTACTAAAATTTGAGGAAAAGGCATAGCACGGTGAGGAAACTACAGACAGCAAATAACTGCATCAAATTACACATAAGAATGAGATACATATGAGTTACAGTAAATTACAAGAAAGTAGACTGCATATAGTTGCATTATTTAAGCTGAAATATGTTAAGAAGGAGAGAAAGAAAGACTCATTGTGGTGAGGAGCTGTTAACGTACACTGGATGTGTCAAAGTCAGTTTTCGTCAAAGTCAGTTTTCAGCAAAGTCAGTTGTCAACAGGTTGTAGACTCTTTTTGTAAGTGATACAACTCTCTAGGTAGCATATAGTGAAAGAGGTAATGACACTGTAGGGGTCAAAAAAATTACTCTTAAATTTGAGTGAAAGCATCATTGTTTTGTGGTAATTTGACTGGATTATGGTAATTTGGGTTTCCTGATGGCTTAGAAGATCAGATTAATGACATAACAGGGTTTGCATTGGAAGTTTCTCAGAGCTAACACATTCTAGGTCTCCTTAGGATTTCAGTTTCCTGTCACCCTCACACTTATCAAAAGGTGTAAGAGTATTTGAGAAAATCATCCTGGACTCTTTAAAATATAAATCCTAGCAGGTATCAAACTTCATGTTTGACCTGTAGGAGATGTGGAAGTTTTCAGTAGTTTTTGCTTATATTTTTTCAGAAAGATGATAATTTATCCTGAAGACAGTTTATGGAAATAATGCAAAATTTTCCCCCAACCTTGACAAAATGTTTTTTTAATAAATGTGCTTTGATCCGTAAAAGGTCCTCCAAACTAGTCTTCTTTTATATAAACGTATATGCAAAGAAGGTTATTCTTATATTGTGTTTTACATATATTATGTATTATTATTATCTATATATTACATTTCTATTAAATGGTCCACTGTCAAGAGGAGTTTGTGACTTCTCTGAAAACTGATAAAACTAGGCCCAAGAACTGCCTTCATTTATATTCTCTCATGAAACATATTCTATCCATGAACTTAGTGTCAGCTTCTAGAAATTACTGTGTTACAGAAGTGCTAAAAGATATCTATGGATCTAATTACATAAACCCTATAGTCACATTTTTTAAAGTCGTCACTGTATTGTTGCAATAGAAGCTTTATTAATTGAAGTGAATAAATGAGCATTATCTAAAAGTTATCTAAACATTTTCAACCAGTTCTCCTTAGTGGCATAATTGCAGAAAATCTTAACACTTGGAGAAAGCTAAAGCAGACATTTCTTGACTTCAAAAACATTCCATTTCTATATTCAAAATATAGCCAACTTTTCAAAAATTTAATCTTGTTGTGCTGTTTTATATCTATCAAGAACCAATTATGGTAAGGGTTACCACTAAGGAAAGAATGGTGTGTGGAAGAGGGAGCAAGAGCTGAGAGAGTTTCTCCGAATCAAATTTCAGATTTCTGTGACATACATGTGTGAAATTCCACAGAAGTCTTTTTGATTACTACAGATTTTCAGTCTTTATTTCTGACATGAAATTAGAAAACTAAGAATGTAAAGCATATCACTTTGAAAATAAAGCTGTCGGCTGTTATGAAAATAAAATCTGTGCCGTAATAATACTCCTGGGTTATTTTTTTTAATGATGCTGTCAATATGTAAAGTGTAGTTAGCAGCACACATTTAATTTACTTTGTAGAGATTTTATCACCTCTGTTACCATAATATATCTTGCATCCCTGTTTAACGATTTTTATTTGTTTGATGCATTCATACAATACAGTTGGGGCTTAGAGAACAGTCTTTGTCTAAATAATTATGTATCTGGGTAAGAAAAGTATCATACTATTTGAATCATTTGCTTATGATTTTACAAGAATGTAGCATCCCTACTAAATGGTAGGTATTGGGCCAGGGGTTTTCACATATTTTGCCTAATTTTATCATCAATATACCTTTTGGAGATGGACATCTCATTATTTCCTGTGAGGAAACTCAAACTCAGAGAAGTAATGCCCTAATAAATGGCATTGCCTAGATTCAATAGCAAATCTTTAAACCTGGTGCTATTTTCATGATTTCATAATAATCCACAATAGATTGAAAATAAGTAATAAATGAATTGCTGCAGTTGCTGCAAGCCTCATGTCTTTAGATGAAAGATAAGTGATTGAATTTCCCAAGAGGAGAAGAGAAATTCTCTCTTAATTGTCCTTGAATGAAGGAAACATTTTGTTCCATGATCTAATGAATATCTTATACGGGAAAACTTTCTCAGGTTGTAGGGTGTGATTCCAGCCAAACGGGGCCTAATGAGGCTCCAGAAAGCAAGAGGCAAGAGATTGCAGTAAATTATAACAAGATAACAGGGCAGACCTTCATATGGTCATGAAGAGTGTTTACCACCAGGAAAGATGGGAGATTTAGTTGTTGTAGTTGGCCATGTTACCAAATGAGCATTGTTTGTACAGCTGTGATCATTTCCCTGATGTAGTCAGACCAGGATGTCCCCATTCTTGGCAGATAATTAGTAGTTGCAGATGACAAACTTTCACCTTATCTTCCCCAAGCTGTACTGGAAAGACATTCAGAACGCCCAGTGAATTTAGAGAAAATGCACTTCTCAGTTAAATAGCCCTTGTGACGTTCTATGATATATCACAGCAATTTGTGGAAACAATTAATTGCAGATGCATCTACTTGTCTCTGGAAATAAAAGGAAGAAAATATTCACCAGGGCTACTGAGTGATGTAACATAAATTACACATATTAAGTATCTTTAGGTACCCCAGTTTAAGGACCTCCTTGGTGCTTCCGGAGAATCAGCTACATTCTTTTAGGCAGGATCCCATCTGAACTCTCTCTGCTGAAATTATGTTTGTAGCTCTAATGGATTTGTTCAATTCACTGCTGGACAGGAACTGAAAAGCTGATGAAAACTGTATCATTTTCAATTTTTAAAATGGCTTTTAGGTCCATGCTAATAAATTTTGAATCCATAGTTCTTAAGTTTTGGTTTAAGCACATAATTCTTATTTTGTTTACTGTCTCAAGTCTTAGTATAAAATGCTATGCTCATGATTCTAGGCCCTAAAGAAAAATTACCTGTCAGCTTGAATTAAAAGTAGTTTTTCAAAAATATTTTAAGAAAAACCTCTCGTTCAAAAGTACTAAACAACCACAAACCTTTTGTTCACATATTTTTAAATGTACAGAGGGAGATAAAAAGCAATGAAGAATATACATTTCCATTTATTTATTACTCTCTATATTACTATTTTTAAGAACTTTGTTATAAATACTGCTCTACGTAAAAATGATGGAAAATACTTACTAGAGGGTAGCATGGTATAGCACAATATGCAATGCATCAGGCTTGGGTAGCTCTAGGCTAATTTTTGTTGCTCCTCGGTTATAAGTCTGAACATGTCATTTAAGGTGTTTCGTTTTCCCATTTATAAAGTGGGAATAAGAAAATCTAATCCCCATTATTTATTGATTGAGTTATACTATGTTTATTTCCCAAAAGGATATCTAGGAACTTCATAGTATTTACATACAAATTTTGCTTGTTTGCTAGACAATGCCACTGCTTGTTAACATACTAATTCACATTAACTAGTGAGAGGATTTTAGCTTTCACTGTTAATAAGCTCAATACAAGCCAATGGTGTCCTGTGCTCTTGCATTAATAGAAGTGAGGTTAGGATGGGGCTTCTCTACTCTGCACTGGGAAGACCTCACTAGTGTACTGTGTTTTCTTCTGGAAAGCTCACTTTTGGAGGTCTTTTAATCATATTGAAGAATGTTCTAGTACAAACAGTGAGAACATTGCTGCTCACTGTAAATCACGACATGAGAAGCTGCCTGCAAGGGCTGAGAATGTTTCATTTGGAGAAGAAAAGTATGAGGAACTTGATAGCTCTTTTTGATTATTTAAAGATTCATATGTGTAGGAAAGTCTGGATTCATTTTGAGAAGTTCTGGAGGATAGGACTAGAGTAAAAGGTGGAAATGATGGGGAAGAAAAATTTAACTTAACATAAAATAATTTCCAATAACTAGAACACATCTCAAAATGGATTGTTACTTCTTTCGAGAATGTATTTCTCAGTCCTGCAAGTGTTTAGTGAGAGGCTAAAAATACACTTTCATGAACTTTCATAAAGAATTAATCTAGGCCGGTCGCCGTGGCTCAAGCCTGTAATCCCAGCACTCTTGGAGACCGAGGCAGGTGGATCATGAGGTCGGGAGATCAAGACCATCCTGGCTAACACAGTGAAATCCTGTCTCTACTAAAAATACAAAAAAAAAAAAAAAAAAAAAAATTAGCCGGGAGTGGTGGCAGGTGCCTGTAGTCCCAGCTACTCGCGAGGCTGAGGCAGAATGGCGTGAACCCAGGAGGCGGAGCTTGCAGTGAGCCGAGATCATGCCACTGCACTCCAGCCTGGGTGACAGAGTGAGACTCTGTCTCAAAAAAAAAAACAAAAAAAAACTAGATTACCTTTTAAATCTTAAAATCCCTCTTCTATTTACATTTGAAATTTTCTTGTTTTTATTACTCTTTTTATTAATCACAATTATCTGTAAGTCTAAATTTCTTTCTAAAAGGTACACGTGAAAATAAAATAAAATTGCATCATTATGTGTCCTAAATTGGTGGGTTCTTGGTCTCACTGACTTCAAGAATGAAGCCGCAGACCCTCACAGTGAGTGTTACAGTTCTTAAAGATGGTGTGTCCTGAGTTTGTTCCTTCTGATGTTCGGACGTGTTCGGAGTTTGTTCCTTCTGGTGGGTTCGTGGTCTGGCTGGTTTCAGGAGTAAAGCTGCAGACCTTTGCGGTGAGTGTTACAGCTCCCAAGGCGGTGCCTCCGGAGTTGTTCATTCCTCCTGGTGAGTTCCTGGTCCCACTGGCCTCAGGAGTGAAGCTGCAGCCCTTCACAGTGAGTGTTACAGTTCATAAAGGCAGTGCAGACTCCAAGAGTGAGAAGCAGCAAGATTTATTGCAAAGAAGGAAAGAACAAAGCTTCCACAACGTGGAAGGGGACCAGAGCAGGTTGCCGCCACTGGCTCGGGCAGCGTGCTTTTATTGCCTTATCTAACCCCACCCACATCCTGCTGATTGTCCCATTTTACAGAGAGCTGATTGGTCCACTTTACAGAGAGCTGATTGGTCTGTTTTGATACGGTGCCGATTGGTGCGTTTACAATCCTTGAACTAGACACAGAGTGCTGACTGGTGTATTTACAATCCTCTAGCTAGATGTAAAAGTTCTCCAAGTCCCCACAAAATTAACTAGACACAGAGCACTGATTGGTGCGTTTACAAACTTTGAGCTAGATACAGGGTGCTGATTGGTGCGTTTAAAAACCTTGAGCTAGACCCAGAGTGTTGATTGGTGTGTTTACAATCCTTTAGCTAGACATAAAGGTTCTCCAAGTCCCCACCAGATTAGCTAGATACAGAGTGCTGGTTGGTACATCCTTAAACCCTGAGCTAGACCCAGAGTGCTGATCGGTGCATTTAGAATCCTCCAGCTAGACATAAAAGTTCTCCAAGTCCTTACCTGACTCAGGAGCCCAGCTGGCTTCACGTAGTGGATCCCGCCGCGGGGACGCGGGCGGAGCTGCCCGCCAGTCCCACGCGCGCGCGCGCGCGCTCCCGCACTCCTCACCCCTTGGGCGGTCAATGGAACCGGGTGCTGCCAAACATGGGGCGGCGCACGTCACGGAGGCCCGGCTGCCCGGGAGCCCGCCGCAGTGGCGGGGGGCGGGGCTTGGGCATGGCGGGCTGCAGGTCCTGAGCCCTCCCCTGGGGGTAGGCGGCTGAGGCCTGTTGAGAATTAAAGCGCGGCGCGGGCGGGCTGGCAGTGCTGGGGGACCCGGCGCACCCTCCACAGCTGCTGGCCCCGGTGCTAAGCCCCGCTGAGCCTGCGCCCACCCGGAACTGGCGCTGGCTCGCGAGCGCGGCGCGCAGCCCCAGCTCCCGCCCGTGCCTCTCCCTCCACACCTCCCTGCAAGCAGAGGGAGCCGGCTCCGGCCTCAGCCAGCCCAGAAGGGGGCTCCCACAGCGCAGCAGCGGGCTGAGGGGCTCCTCAAGCACTGCCAGAGTGGACGCTGTGGCCTAAAGAGGTGCTGAGAGCGAGCGAGGGCTGCTAGCACGATGTCACCTCTCAATTACAGTGTTGTAGTTTAACATAGCTAATCTTGGCTTCATGAGGCACTGTCTTTTCTGCGTTGCCATTTGGTTTGTGAGGTATTTAAGTACATGTTTCCCTTTTGACATTATCTTTAAAAATCTTTAAAAGATTAAGAGTTGAAGGAATCTTAAAAATTTCTAGTCTGATAATTTATCCCAAGTTCTTAATCACCCTGTAATACCTTTGGCCAGGGTTTTCCTGCCTTGTGCTTGAACTCTGAATAGTCTAGCATTATAAATTCATTTTAAGTTTGTTATTTGGAACTCGACTCAATCTTATTATAGCTGTGGTTTGGCTATAGAGAGCAGAAAAAGACTGTCTCCTCCCTTGTTCTATTGCCTGTAATTCTATTAATGCAGCCTAAGCTTTAGATGATGTCTTGTAGCAGCTAGAACTGACACTTCACTTATTAATTCACTTGTGCATTCAGCAAATATTTAATGAATGTCTACTGAGTACAAGGCTTCAGTTTCAGGTAAACAAGGAGTGAGCAGTGGGCTTTTACATTTTAGTGAAGCACATGTAGAGAAAACACTTCATTCTCTTTCATAAAAGCTCTTGTTAAACCATGGTCTCTATTGGAAATTATGAAGTAATTATTAATGATGTGTAGGACATTACGTTTTTATTCTATTTTGTTAGGTTGTGTTTTGTTTAAATATTCACTCCACAAATTTTGTATGTTATTTCAGCATTTGAGGAAACTGTCTTCCTGAACTCCACAAATTTTGTATGTTATTTCAGCACTTGAGGAAACCGTCTTCCTGAACTCCACTGCATCTCAGGTAACGTTGTATTACATGTTCATCTATCACTCTTCTCTTGTGGAAAATTTTTAAGCTACAATTTGATCAGCACTGGCAAATTTGTCTGGCATGCTAATAAACCCTCTGAGGTACTAACTGACACTGCTCTATATTAGTAATTCCTGTTCTAGATGCAAAATATAATAAAAATAGAAATAATATAAATGAAAAATGTAGACTGAAAAGAATAAGATAAAGCAACAAATATAAAAAAATTTAATAAACATCTCTTCATATGCTGGAAAAAACATTATGTTCTCAAAATTTTATTAGATGTTGTGATACAATGAGAATTAAAGACAAATGCGATCTCAATCCTCTTGAAATTTGCCATCCAGTGGGGGGAACTGGCATTAATCCAAAAATCCAAATAGTCACGCAAATATATTTAAAATTTCAGTTCTGATATAAATTTTTTAAAAAAGGTATCTATCTTTTAGAGATACATGTTGAATTATTTGAGATGAAAAGGGAATTGTCTCAAAATAATCTGGGTGGGGAATGGGTGATGGCATAATGAAATAAGACTACCGTGAATTGCTGGTTTTTCATTATTAGTCCATTAGAGCTGGTATAGCAAAATACCATAAACTGTGTGGCTTATAAACAACAAAACTTTATTTCTCACATTTTTGAGGTGGAAAGTCCTAGATGGAGGCACTAGCAGATTCAGTGTCTGATGAGGGCCAACTTCATCATCCATGGTACCTTCTCACTGTGTCCTCACATGGTGGAAGGAGCTACCTAGTTCTCTGTGATCTCTTGTATAAAGTCACTAATCTCAATCGCGAGGGCTTCAGCCTCAGGACCTAGGCACCTTCTAAAGGCCCTACCTCTTGATACCATTACCTTGGTGGTTAAGATTTCAACATATAAGTCTGGGGAGGACACAACATTAAGACCACAGTGATGTCTTAAACCTTTCATGCTGCTGTCACAAAATACCATAAACTAGGTGGCTTAGAAACAATGAGAATTTTCTTCTCAGAGTTCTGGAGGCTGAGTGGAAAGCCCAAAATCAAGGTGCTGGTAGATTTGGTTTCTGATGAAAGCCCTGGTTTATAGACAGTCATCTCTTCAGTGTGTCTTTACATAGCGTAAAGGGCAAAAGAGTTCTCTAAGGCCTTCTTTATAAGGGCACTAGTTCTGTTTACTAGGCCCTGATGATCTAATCAATTTCCAGAGGCCACCTCTTAATATCATCACCTTGAGGAATTAGGATTTCAACATATAAATTTGAGGGGACACACTCAGACCACAGCACTGGATCTCAGATGGGTAAATGAGGCTTCATCATGCTCTTCTATTTGTGTATATCTTTGATATTTTCTGTTAAAAACGTTATAAACATGAAAATTCAACTCTGACAGGTGGTACGGAGGAAAGGCAGCCAGTTTGCTGACAGCACATAATAGAGGGATTTCATAAAGTCAGGGAAGTCAGGAATGGCCTCTGACAGGAAGTGATGCAACATTAGACTGGAAGAATGAATGGGAGTGTGGAGAACAGATCCCTATACCCATTTGGAGCCCTACTGCAGAGGGACCCATACCATATCTGAGGGACAAAGGGAGCCAGTGTGGCTGGAAGGCTAGCAGAGTAGTAGGTGTAGCTGGGGAATGAGACAAGGACACCGTAAGAAGTGATCTTCATGTGTCCTAACAACAATAGGAAGCCACTGAAGGATTTTAAGCTTGGAAGTGACAAAATCATATTTGCTTTTGGCTACTATGTGAAAACTGACAGTAGGGGGCTAGAGTGATGCAGGTGGACTGGTTAGGTACTGCCAGTTTTTTCCAGAAAACAGCCTTGTTACATTAGCACCCTAAAGCTTTAGCTTCCTTTAGTTTAGACATATAGCCTTCCCTGTTGATTTTATCACTTTCATATTCTATAATTCTATCAGCTTTCCTCTAGCTTTTCTTTTATCTTCTTAGTGCGAGTCTCCTTCACCTCCTGTCTGGAATACATAACAGCCTCGACACTCCAGCTGCATCTACTCAGAAGCATTCTTTGCCCAGGAAACTCGTCCTTTTAAAAATGCATATTTCATGAAGAGTTTTGGGCATAATCACGTTTGGCTATCATAGTTTAACTAAAATTGAGTTCTTTTGTTCAAAAGTGTGCATGACGGGGTTGCTAGAAAAATTAAAAAAACAAACAAACAATATCCAGTTAAATCTGAATTTGAGACAATGAATCTAAAGTCTAAATATGTCTCAAAAATTAAGACATATAATACTTATATTAAAATATGGGATGGGCAATAGTTAGGATTTACCACTACAAAACATTATTTTCTGTTTATTGAGAAATTCAAATTTAATTGGCCATTCTATTTTTTTAATTTCATAATTCTGACCATTCTAGAAGTTTGAAAGCAAGTAAATGCCTGTTCATGTAAACCATGAGCCTCAGTGACTATGCCATCCACTTTATGAACAATGGAAAACAATTATGGAAACCTAATTCCAAATATATAGTAAGTTAAAATGGAATATTGCATTCAGTACATATGACAGAACTGTTATTTTGAATATAAAGAAGTATATAGTTTTAATAAATGGAAAATCAGTTTTCTACTTGCTCCCATTAACAAAGATTGAACAAAATATTTAAAGAATATTGGTGAGGAGGGAAGCCTGCCTAGCATCTTACATTTGTAGGTTCAGACCTGCCTTAGGTCTTGTTCTTATTCCTGTCTGTGGTTTTCTCTCTGCCTCTGTTATTATGAGCAGAGACTTACACCATATCATGATGAACACATGGTCCAACAATAGTTCCCCAGGTGAAAAGAAGTATCTCTACAAAATTTCCAGGAGGCGTTTGACAAAGAGATTTAAAAATTACATGAAAGTAATTATATCTACTGCTTGCCTCCCCACATGCCCTTTCCTGGTATTACTCCATTTGTATTGTTTTAATATAAGCTGGCAACTTATCACATTGGAAAGTGAACAGATGTGGTGCATGGTGCACTTAACAATCCAAAGGGCATTAAATTTAAATAGAGAAACTATTAATATTTATAAATACAAATGACTTATTTAATTAGAGCAAAATTTCATTAATACAGGATCTTTTTAAAGCACTGACTCTTAAGTCTGTTAAAAATGAAGCACAAGAGTGAATGGGAGTCCAGTTTGAATAATTCTGATAAAGAAATTCTGTAACGTTTTCTTGCAAACAGTTGTTGTAAGTCCTCTGATAAGATATTTATGCTACTTTGATGATATATAGACATTTCAAGTACCTTATAAAACACAATATTAAAAATGTGACATATCAAGTTGTGCTTTAAAATTTAACTCTATTAGAATAGTAGAAATATTTAAAGTTATGAATTTCATATATTTATTGATAAAATATATTTTAGGTGAAAATGCAGAACTTATTTATAATGTAGAAATACTTTGTTTATTTTTTTCACTACTGTGAACATCATGGTTGTACTGTAAAAAAACCCTGATCTGCATACTGGGTTTTTTCTTATAACAGACATACATGGGCTATTACACTTTCAAGCACTTTAAAAAATATATGGCACCTAAAATCTTGGGGAAAAATATAATACAAATGCAAATTAGTTGAATCAAAATAATATGTTTTTATTAATATAGTGTATTTAAGTTTAAAAGGAGCTGCTTTAATGGAATCCCACAGGATTTATTTTAGAGCTATTGGATACAGTGTACTGATCATGAATTTCAGAGATGAAGAAATGAAGATGGATATATATAAATGTGCAAATGGCTATAATAAAATATTATGTGCAATGAAGATTCAGCAGAATTTCTGCAGAATAATGAAATGGGCCATTAAGAAGCAAATATTCAGCATCCTGGGAATAGAACATGACTTATGAGAAAAGTTTAAATGTTAAACAAAACAAATTTTAAATCTCTAAACAAAGATCTGTATGCTTAATGGGTGCATTCTGTTTATTTGATTTAGATGTACATGATTTCTTAGGGGGCGGTGGGTTTCTGAAAATGTTGATAACAAGAAAGAAACTGGGCAGAAAAGTAGATTGAACAGCTAAACTGATACAAATGAGGATTATGTTTGAGACACAGTGTAATAGGGAACAGATGGGAAGACCATTTTCTATGTAAACTTATCATGGCTAGGCTCCAGCTAGCTTCAAATGAAGTATTGGCTATCATCTCTTTAGAAGATCCAGGCTTAAGCAGAACTGGGCTCTAGTTCAATTAGCCAAAAGTCAATTCACCCAATGACCAGTTCACTTGTTTCTTTTAAATATTTTAGTTTTAGTTGACGAGTTTTCCTTTTTTCTACATAAAATCTTCAAAAGTTTTTAAGGTGCTTCTGATTCCTATCCATGTTGCTGTATCTAGAGACCAAGGAAGGGAGAAAAAGAGAGATTGTAGAGCAGAGGAACATGTTTTTGGATATAGAGAATTCTTGTCAATATAGTCTTTATAAATATATTGAATATGTTTTTATTATATATTAAAATATTATCGATATATTTATCTAAAAGAGAACATTAACACATTAGGTAAAATTTATCTTTTAGTGAATAAATTGTTATAAAAATGTTTCTTTTTTTGAGAGAGACAGAGTCTCACTCTGTCACCCAGGCTGGAGTACAATGGCATGATATCGGCTCACTGCAGCCTCTGCCTCCCGAGTTCAAGTGATTCTCATGCCTCAGCTACCCCAGTAGCTGAGTTTACAGGCACCCGCCTCCACGCCTGGCTAATTTTTGTATTTTTAGTAGAGATGGAGTTTCACCGTGTCGGCTAGGCTGGTCTCAAACTCCTGACTTGAAGTGATCTATTCACTTCGACCTCTCAAAGTGCTGGGATTACAGGCATGAGCTACCACACTAGGCTGTCATGAAAATACTTTTAGGAACTTCATAATTACATATATTTATATAACTATATAACATATTAATAAATATTAACAATATTGCCATAGATATTTTAGAATACCCACATTTATTTATAGTTCATTTTAATTTTATTCATAGGTCCCTCAATTCCTGATCCCTTCTCTACATTTCTTGCTCTACCGTGGTTCTCGCTTTCTTCCCTCAATCACCTGCTTCTTAAATGCTGGCATGGGGGACAATTGATAAGATAGAATTGTGTATGTATATATTTATAAGATAGAATTAGAATGATAAGAAACAAATTTGGTGAGTTCATGTATTGACTGGAATCTGTGGCATTTAACACTGGTTGAAGCAAGGTTTTTTCTGTTGACGAAAGAAAATATACAGAAATTTGGAACTTAATCCATAAGATAGAATGAATTAAAAGCCTAATTATTGGCTTGGAATTAGCATTTTATATTCCTTTTTGTGTCATACCTATTTTGGCTAGATATTCATGAAGATTCATGATTTAAAGCAATATTTATTTAGGGTTAGTTACCATTATGTAAACTTAGTAATCCTCCAGTAGATTTGCCACTTCGTCCTGGTTTTTTAAAAAATTACATACATTAAGATCTCCCATAGTAAGTCTTTGTATATGTGTATGTGTTTATTCTACCAATTATACTACCAACATTTCCTTAGTAAGTTGGGATTAACCAAACTAAAGGAGTGGATAATATTTCATGTATGTGATTTATTTGTTTCCAGATAATGCTATTAAATAAGAAAAATGCTGAAATTAAAAGAAGGAATAATGTGGAGTTTGCTTTTAGATTAATTTATTTCAGAGATTTAAGGAAATGCATACATCAAAAGCAAAGTATTCCCCAATATTTTGAATAGAATAGCCTTAGAGCTTCCCATTCCACTGGGTGACAAAGTGCACATTGTTGTGCTGTGAATAGGTCTCTTGCAGCCTTATCTGGTTACCCCTGTGTGGTCGATGACACTAATAATAATCAATTTTACTGAACGCTTTAAGGGGTAGGTGATTAGCCATCTTATCTTATAGCTCCTAGGAAACAAACAAAACACCCCAAAAAACATAAGTTAAGCAACCATTGTCTTTTTTGATTTCTTAAAGAGAATTTAAAAAGCTTAGTAACACTTATTAATTCTAATCAAATTCACATTGAAAGGATTGTGTTCTGAGAAAATAAATGAATGCCACCAAGGAACATCCCTTGCACTCCTATCACATCAAGTTAGATGTAATAAGTAGAAAAGCTGAACACTACTTCCAGAAGCTATTATTCTGAGAGACTCATTTGGTAACCAAAGGAAGATATTAATGGGTGAATTTTTTGATGACTATAATGGAAATGAAACCTTCACAGAGTGCTAATAGATGATAGCTTACTGTTTTCTTGATTTCCAGATGTGCTGTTACCTGGGAGTTCATTTGAAAAACAGGGGACAAAGCTGAGAGTCATCATTATACTAAAAATAAAGATGCTTCAAATCTGAAAATATTTATAGAGGCTTGCTAGGAAAGATAACTGTTAGAACTTTGGTTCAAATGAATGAAAATATTGAATTCCAAAAAGCATCCAATGAATGGCAGCTTTGTTCACTTTAAATTCATACAATTACTCAGATTCACTTAATATGTTTTATTAAATGTCTTTATTAGTAGATAGAAATGATTCATGAAGCAGTATATTAAGCTATCAACCCATATAATCAAGTTTCAATTCCTACTGCAGGAATATTTTTGAATTTGCAGTATCCAAAATATTTCCTTGATGCCTGGAACTTGTTTTGTAAGAAATGACATTTCTTAATTTTTATTTCAATGCTGATTTCTTACCAACTCTTTATGATTATCATGACCAATGTAAACCTTGGTTCACACCCTTTTTCAAGTTACCACAAATTCCAAACTTGTAAAATTAGAAAAACTATGATCCATAATTATATTTTTATAATTGTGGTTAGTTCTCATTAATATAGGTATTATCTATACTACACTCCAGTATTTATTCTGGAGAAAGTAATCTATTAAATAATGAAATATGACAAATATGTATTAAGATTTGGAAATGTTCTCTTTAATTACATAGTATATTAATGTAATTTGTTCAAAGCAGCATATGTTGTCATAATGAAAGTTTTCAGCCAAAATTCTTTCTTATAGCCAAATAGATATTTGAAATAGTCATTGCTGCTGAAAAATAAACAATTAGATAGGGAAGAAAGATGTAGATGTGATTTTTCCAATATTTCCTACCCCTCTTAATTTATTCAGGCCACCTTTTCCTTTAAGATCCAAATAGAATATATCCACATCCACAACACTTACGTGAGGAATCCTTTTGGTATCCTCCTTAATATCTTTGGCACTTGAGTAACATGGAGTAGAGGTCACATTTCATATATGTCAGTCATTGTTTCCCTCCTCCTCTTTCTTAGCTGTAACTCTGAGCACCTGCTACTTGCTGTCATGTCTTATTGGCCAATTGCGTCCCATGTTGAACATCACCCTTGTATAGGGCTGTGAAGAGATTTAGAATTTACCCTATTTGCAAACTAACAGGTTAGCTTGCCACAGTTTCATGAACTCTAACAGGCAACACGAGACTCCTGGGTCAGAGACAAATGACAAAGCATTATCCCTTACAAAGCATTATCCCTTACCAATGTCGTGGCCAGATAATCACCATTTTGTCATTTTCCTAAGCTTTGATTCCTATAATGCCACATAACAAATAGAGTGGATTATAGAAAGGAACCCTGAGTTTAGAAAATCCCAAACTCTTCAATACACTTTAAGAAGAGAATATTTGCCCCCAGAGAGCAGCATTGTCTTTATTACACCAAACAGCAAACAAACCTGCCCTCTACTATAGAGAGAGACATTATTTCTGTCTTCAAGGCTATGAGCTATACAAACATCCTTAGAAAGATCGTTCAGAACAATAAGTTGTTTAGTGCCTCTGCACTCATGTATCCCAACACGTTCTTATTTTCCACAGTATATTCCCAAGGTTGTCATGTCTGGCAGAATATTATTGAAGTTTTGGCGATAAAAGAGTTCCAGAAAACAGTATTTAAATTAATCTTTAACCACTATTCTTAGCAATTTTTTTTTTTTACTCCAAAGAAGCCATTTGTCATTTGTCATATCCCTTAGAATATCCCTCTTATCTCAACGTATTTCAGGGACTTATTTTGGTTCTGCTGAGCTAATCTCTCCTCCCTCTTGGTCTATTCTCAGAAATTCAAATTTCTTCTCTTAATTATGCAGGTCATTTTTTCTCTTTGTTTTACCTTGTGTTTCAACATGAAGCTTTGGCCATACTTGAGATACCAATGGCAGAAACTGACCATATTCAGAGGTCCATCAAAGCCATTTTCAAAAAAGAAAAATGAAATAAAGGATGGAAGAAAGAAAGGAAAGAAAGAAAGACAGAAAGAAAGAAAGATAATTCAGAAAGCATTCAGATAATCCTAAAAGCCAAAGTCACTAATTCAGTGAATGTTGAACTTAGCCTCAGTTCCTTCTTTTTATCAACAATTATTTTTAGTTGACCTCAGGACAAAGGGTTCTGCTAAGCATAAACTTTAAGGAAGTATTATGAGATGTCATCCCGTATTTTTTGTTCCTCTTGGTTGAAGGCAGGAAATTTACAATGTAAATAATTGAAATACAAAGGATCTCTGATGTTAAAATAAGGTACTTGAGAGAGAGCAATGAGCTATCTCCCAAATGATATAAGCCACGTAGTTTATTTTGATTCTTATGTGCTGCCTACCTTGAAATCTATTCTCTATAATTATGTGGCTTCAAGAAATATTTTATTTTGCCCTCTTGCTATATAAACAAATTATGTAGAATTCACTTAAAAAATAATCTCTGGTAAAAAGATGAAGAAGAAAACTTGTTTCCCAACATTATTGTAAGGCATTGTTATATATATTGTACAAATAAATAAACATATATAATAACTTTCAAGATATGCATTATATAAGTGACTCAGTGAAATATAAGATTAATAAACCCTAGTTTCTGATTCACTATTCTCATCTGCAGGTAAAGTTTATTCCTTAAAAAAGGAAAATAACAACAACAGAGCATATAGTCATGAAGGAACTCTTGTTATCACAGCAAATAAAGTGAAGTAAGGGAAAATGGCTATGGGTTGCAGACTACAACTCAAATATGCACAGCTACACGTATTTAAATAGCTGAGGATGAAAGTCTTTTATATTCACAAACAGGTTATGTGAACTGAGTTGGTTAACTGATAGGTAAAAAGTCTCTGTATTTATGAAGGAAATAATGTATACAGTGGCCCATTTCCAAGACAAAGTGCCTTGAATCAGCTTAGGTCAGCAAACTACAGAAGAAACAGGATATACTAGGCCCCTGCTTAGACAGCTGACACCTGCTTGTCAGCCTCCCTCTTTTCACTCCCTTCTTCCTGCCTTAGTTGTCTTCACCCAAACCAAAAAAGTTTAGTCTAAAATGAAAGTTTACTAGCCTGCAAAATAGCTCACTTTGTCTGTTCTTATCAGCCTGCCCAGCTGCTTAGATCGTAAGTCAAATACTTAAAGAGCTCGTAATCTAACTAGGATTGAAATGCATTGTGGGCTGCAACAAAATGCAGCAAGACAACCCTAAAGAAAACACCTAAAGCCCCTACTCAATAATCAATAGGCGATGTCCAGGAAGATTGTGACCCCATAGTACCCAGCCTATGAGGAAAGGGGGAGAGACCTCTGCACTAGGGAATAAATTGCTTGTTGTGACTGTGCTGGGTGTTCCTGCCTATCAGACACCCTATCTTGCAAGACCGTCATTAAAAGTCTCATTTTTTGGCCATGCGCGGTGGCTCATGCCTGTAATTCAGCACTTTGGGAGGCTGAGGCAGGAGGATCATGAGGTCAGGAGATAGAGAGCATCTTGGCCAACATGGTGAAACCTGTCTCTATTGAAAATACAAAGATTAACTG
This sequence comes from Homo sapiens, assembly GCF_000001405.40. Classification (NCBI taxonomy): domain Eukaryota; kingdom Metazoa; phylum Chordata; class Mammalia; order Primates; family Hominidae; genus Homo; species Homo sapiens. The sequence goes on from NC_000007.14 coordinate 118,869,899, forward strand.
GGCATGGTGGCACGCGCCTGTAGTCCCAGCTTCTCGGGAGGCTGAGGCAGGAGAATCGCTTGAACCTGGGAGGTGGAGGTTGCAGTGAGCCAGGATTCTACCACTGCACTCCAGCCTGGTGACAAAGTGAGACTCTGTCAAAAAAAAACAAAGAAAAAAAAAAGTCTCACTTTCACTGTTCTCTGGGTCTCTGAGTCCCTTCTTTGGGCTTGGACTGGTGAGTTTGTTTCTCACAACCTGGTGGCCCTTATGAGGATCTCTGTGCCTGCGTGGAGTGAGACTCCAGCCAAGAGGGGAGATGCGTTCTACCAGATTTAAGTGACCCACCCTCTCCGGGTGTCCTAGCTCCCTGCAGAAGCCTTGGCCAAACCTGAAACTTTTATTCAGGAGGCAGCAGAAGTGACACACGGAGAAAAGCAGGCACTGTGGCAACCAGGCAACCTAGTGCATGAGCCAAGGTAAGAAAAGTGGATTCTAACTACTGCCTTGGTGGTTGGGCATTTTCAGAGATCTCAGG